>NC_000003.12:91072458-91233586 GCF_000001405.40 Homo sapiens
GGCCTTCGTTTGAAACGTGATTTCTTCATTTACAAGTAGACAGAAGAATTCTCAGAAACTTCTTTGTGATGTGTACCTTCAACTCAAAGTGGTGAAGCTTCCTTTCAATAGAGCACTTTTGAAACTCAGTTTTGGTAGAATTTCCAGGTGGATATTTAGCGCCGTTTGAGGCCTATGGTAGAAAAGGCAATACCTTCGTAGGAGAACTAGACAGAATGATTCTCAGAAGCTACTTTGTGATGTGTGGGTTCAACTCACTGAGTTTAACCTTTCTTTTGATAGACCAGTTATGAAACACTCTTTTTGTGGAATCGGCAAGTAAATATTTGGACTTTTTTGAGGCCTTCATTGGAAACGGCGTTTCCTCATATAAACCTTGACAGAAGAATTCTCAGAAACTTCTCTGTGATGTGTGCGTTTAACTCTCAGAGTTCAACATTCCTTTTGATACAAGAGTGTTGAAATATTCTTTTTGTAGAATTTCCAAGTGAATATTTAGAGCGGTCTCAGGCCTATGTAGAAGAGAAACTATCTTCACAGAAAAACTAGACATCATTGTTCTCTGAAGCTACTTTGTGATGTGCGCCTTCAGCGGACAGAGTTTAACCTTTCTTTGGATAGAGCGGTTTTAAGCACTCTTTCTGTGGAATTTGCAATTCTATATTTAGAGTGCTTTCAGGCCTGTGGTACAAAAGGGAATGTCTTCACATAAAATCTAGACAGAAGCATTGTCGGAAACTACATTGTGATACCTGCCTTCAACTCTCAGAGTTGAATGTTCCTCTTGATGGAGCAGTTTTGAAAAACTCTTTTTGTTGAATCTCCAAGTGGATATTTGGACCTCTTTGTGGCCTTCGTTTGAGACGTGACTTCTTCATACAAAAGTAGACAGAGGAATTCTCATCAACTTCTTCGTGATGTGTGCTTTCAACTCGCAGCGTTGAAGCTTCCTTTCGATAGAGCAGTTCTGTAACTCTCTTTTTGTAGAATTTCCAAGTGGATATTTAGCGCCGTTTGAGGCCAATGGTGGAAAAGGCAATATCTTCATAGAAAAACTAGACAGAATGATTCTGAGAAACTACTTTGTGATGTGTGCCTTCAACTCACAGAGTTTAACCTTTCTTTTGATAGAGCAGTTTTGAAAAACTCTTTTTGTAGAATCTGCAAGTGTATATTGGGACTTTTCTGAGGCCATCTTGGGAAACGGGATTTCTTCATATAAAACTTGAAAGAAGAATCCTCAGAAAATTATTTGTGATATGTGCATTTAACTCATGGAGCTGAATCTTCCTTTCGATAGAAGAGCTTTGAAATACTGTTTTTGTAGAATTTCCAAGTGGATTTTTACAGCGGTTTGAGGTCTATGGCAGAAAAAGAAATATCTTCACAGAAAAACTAGGCAGATTCATTCTCCGAAGCTGTTTTGTGATGCTTGCATTAAGCGGACAGAGTTTAAACTTCCTTTGATAGAGCAGTTTGGAAACACTCTTTTTGTGGAATTTGCAAGTGTATATTTAGAGCGTTTTGAGGCCTACAGTAGGGAAAGGAAATATCTTCACATAAAAACTACACAGAAGTATTGTCAGGAACTTATTTGTGAAATTTGCATTCAACGCACGGAGTTGAACATTCCTCTTGATGGAGCCGTTTTGAAGCACTCTTTTTGTGGAATCTGCAAGTGGATATTTGGACCTCTTTGTGGCCTTCGTGGGAAACGTGATTTCTTCATTTACAACTAGACAGAAGAATTCTCAGAAACTTCTTTGTGATGTGTACCTTCAACTCACAGAGGTGAAGCTTCCTTTCAATAGAGCACTTTTGAAGCTCAGTTTTGGTAGAATTTCCAGGTGGATATTTAGCGCCGTTTGAGGCCTATGGTAGAAAAGGCAATATCTTCGTAGGAGAACTAGACACAATGATTCTCAGAAGCTACTTTGTGATGTGTGGGTTCAACTCACTGAGTTTAACCTTTCTTTTGATAGACCAGTTATGAAACACTCTTTTTGTGGAATCTGCAAGTAAATTTTTGGACTTTTTTGAGGCCTTCATTGGAAACGGGGTTTCTTCATATAAACCTTGACAGAAGAATTCCCAGAAACTTCTCTGTGGTGTGTGCATTTAACGCTCAGAGTTCAACCTTCCTTTTGATAGAAGAGTGTTGAAGTATTCTTTCTGTAGAATTTCCAAGTGAATATTTAGAGCGCTTTCAGGCCTATGTAGAAGAGAAACTATCTTCACAGAAAAACTAGACATAACTGTACTCTGAAGCTACTTTGTGATGTGCGCATTCAGCTTACAGAGTTTAACCTTTCTTTGGATAGAGCGGTTTTAAACACTCTTTTTGTGGAATTTGCAGTTCTATATTTAGAGTGCTTTCAGGCCTGTGGTACAAAAGGGAATGTCCTCACATAAAATCTAGACAGAAGCATTGTCGGAAACTACTTTGTGATACCTGCCTTCAACTCTCAGAGTTGAATATTCCTCTTGATGGAGCAGTTTTGAAAAACTCTTTTTGTTGAATCTCCAAGTGGATATTTGGACCTCTTTGTGGCCTTCGTTTGAGACGGTGACTTCTTCATACAAAAGTAGACAGAAGAATTCTCATAAACTTCTTGGTGATGTGTGCTTTCAACTCGCAGCGTTGAAGCTTCCTTTCGATAGAGCAGTTTAGTAACTCTCTTTTTGTAGAATTTCCAAGTGGATATTTAGCGCCGTTTGAGGCCTATGGTGGAAAAGGCAATATCTTCATAGAAAAACTAGACAGAATGATTCTCAGAAACTACTTTGTGATGTGTGCCTTAAACTCACAAGAGTTTAACCTTTCTTTTGATAGAGCAGTTTTGAAAAACTCTTTTTGTAGAATCTGCAAGTGTATATTGGGACTTTTCTGAGGCCATCTTTGGAAACGGGATTTCTTCATATAAAACTTGAAAGAAGAATCCTCAGACAATTATTTGTGATATGTGCATTTAACTCATGGAGTTGAGACTTCCTTTCGATAGAAGAATTTTGAAATACTCTTTTTGTAGAATTTCCAAGTGGATTTTTACCGCGGTTTGAGGTCTATGGCAGAAAAAGAAATATCTTCCCAGAAAAACTAGGCAGATTCATTCTCCGAAGCTGTTTTGTGATGCTTGCATTAAGCGGACAGAGTTTAAACTTCCTTTGATAGAGCAGTTTGGAAACACTGTTTTTGTGGAATTTGCAAGTGTATATTTAGAGGGTTTTGAGGCCTACAGTAGGAAAGGAAATATCTTCACATAAAAACTACACAGAAGTATTGTCAGAAACTTATTTGTGATATTTGCATTCAACGCACGGAGTTGAACATTCCTCTTGATGGAGCCGTTTTGAAGCACTCTTTTTGTGGAATCTGCAAGTGGATATTTGGACCTCTTTGTGGCCTTCGTGGGAAACGTGATTTCTTCATTTACAACTAGACAGAAGAATTCTCAGAAACTTCTTTGTGATGTGTACCTTCAACTCACAGAGGTGAAGCTTCCTTTCAATAGAGCACTTTTGAAACTCAGTTTTGGTAGAATTTCCAGGTGGATATTTAGCGCCGTTTGAGGCCTATGGTAGAAAAGGAAATATCTTCGTAGGAGAACTAGACACAATGATTCTCAGAAGCTACCTTGTTATGTGTGTGTTCAACTCACTGAGTTTAACCTTTCTTTTGATAGACCAGTTATGAAACATTCTTTTTGTAGAATCTGCAAGTAAATATTTGGACTTTCTTGAGGCCTTCATTGGAAACGGGGTTTCTTCATATAAACCTTGACAGAAGAATTCCCAGAAACTTCTTTGTGATGTGTGCATTTAACTCTCAGAGTTCAACCTTCCTTTTGACAGAAGAGTGTTGAAATATTCTTTTTCTAGAGTTTCCAAGTGAATATTTAGAGCGGTTTCAGGCCTACGTAGAAGAGAAAATATCTTCACAGAGAAACTAGACATAATTGTTCTCTGCAGCTACTTTGTGATGTGCGCCTTCAGCGGACAGAGTTTAACCTTTCTTTGGATAGAGCGGTTTTAAGCACTCCTTCTGTGGAATTTGCAATTCTATATTTAGAGTGCTTTCAGGCCTGTGGTACAAAAGGGAATGTCTTCACATAAAATCTAGACAGAAGCATTGTCGGGAACTACTTTGGGATACCTGCCTTCAACTCTCAGATTTGAATATTCCTCTTGATGGAGCAGTTTTGAAAAACTCTTTTTGTTGAATCTCGAAGTGGATATTTGGACCTCTTTGTGGCCTTCGTTTGAAACGTGACTGCTTCATACAAAAGTAGACAGAAGAATTCTCATAAACTTCTTCGTGATGTGTGCTTTCCACTCGCAGAGTTGAAGCTTCCTTTCGATAGAGCAGTCTTGTAACTCTCTTTTTGTAGAATTTCCAAGTGGATATTTAGCGCCGTTTGAGGCCTATGGTGGAGAAGGCGATATCTTCATAGAAAAACTAGACAGAATGATTCTCAGAAACTACTTTGTGATGTGTGCCTTCAACTCACAGAGTTTAACCTTTCTTTTGATAGAGCAGTTTTGAAAAACTCTTTTTGTAGAACTGCAAGTGTATATTGGGACTTTTCTGAGGCCATCTTTGGAAACGGGATTTCTTCCTCTAAAACTTGAAAGAAGAATCCTCAGAAAATTATTTGTGATATGTGCATTTAACTCATGGAGTTGAAACTTCCTTTCGATAGAAGAGTTTTGAAATACTCTTTTTGTAGAATGTCCAAGTGGATTTTTACAGCGGTTTGAGGTCTATGGCAGCAAAAGAAATATCTTCACAGAAAAACTAGGCAGATTCATTCTCCGAAGCTGTTTTGTGATGCTTGCATTAAGCGGACAGAGTTTAAACTTCCTTTGATAGAGCAGTTTGGAAACACTCTTTTTGTGGAATTTGCAAGTGTATCTTTAGAGCGTTTTGAGGCCTACAGTAGGAAAGGAAATATCTTCACATAAAAACTACACAGAAGTATTGCCAGAAACTTATTTGTGATATTTGCATTCAACGCACGGAGTTGAACATTCCTCTTGATGGAGCCGTTTTGAAGCACTCTTTTTGTGGAATCTGCAAGTGGATATTTGGACCTCTTTGTGGCCTTCGTGTGAAACGTGATTTCTTCATTTACAACTAGACAGAAGAATTCTCAGAAACTTCTTTGTGATGTGTACCTTCAACTCACAGAGATGAAGCTTCCTTTCAATAGAGCACTTTTGAAACTCAGTTTTGGTAGAATTTCCAGGTGGATGTTTTGCGCCGTTTGAGGCTTATGGTAGAAAAGGCAATATATTCATAGGAGAACTAGACAGAATGATTCTCAGAAACAACTTTGTGATGTGTGCGTTCAACTCACGGAGTTTAACCTTTCTTTTGATAGACCAGTTATGAAACACTCTTTTTCTAGAATCTGCAAGTAAATATTTGGACTTTTTTGAGGCCTTCATTGGAAACGGGATTTTTTCATATAAACCTTGACAGAAGAATTCTCAGAAACTTCACTGTGATGTGTGCCTTTAACTCTCAGAGTTCAACCTTCTTTTTGATAGAAGAGTGTTGAAATATTCCTTTTGTAAAATTTCCAAGTGAATATCTAGAGGGGTTTTAAGCCTATGTAGAAGAGAAACTATCTTCACAGAAAAACTAGACATAACTGTTCTCTGAAGCTGCTCTGTGATGTGCGCATTCAGCTGACAGAGTTTAACCTTTCTTTGGATAGAGCGGTTTTCAACACTCTTTTTGTGGAATTTGCAATTCTATATTTAGAGTGGTTTCAGGCCTGTGGTACAAAAGGGAATGTCTTCACATAAAATCTAGACAGAAGCATTGTCGGAAACTACTTTGTGATACCTGCCTTCAACTCTCAGAGTTGAATATTCCTCTTGATGGAGCAGTTTTGAAAAACTCTTTTTGTTGAATCTCCAAGTGGATATTTGGACCTCTTTGTGGCCTTCGTTTGAAATGTGACTGCTTCATACAAAAGTAGACAGAAGAATTCTCATAAACTTCTTCGTGATGTGTGCTTTCAACTCGCAGAGTTGAAGCTTCCTTTCGATAGAGCAGTTTTGTAACCCTCTTTTTGTAGAATTTCCAAGTGGATATTTAGCGCCGTTTGAGGCCTATGGTGGAAAAGGCAATATCTTCATAGAGAAACTAGACAGAATGATTCTCAGAAACTAATTTGTGATGTGTGCCTTCAACTCACAGAGTTTAACCTTCCTTTTGATAGAGCAGTTTTGAAAAACTCTTTCTGTAGAATCTGCAAGTGTATAGTGGGGCTTTTCTGAGGCCATGTTTGGAAACGGGATTTCTTCATATAAAACTTGAAAGAAGAATCCTCAGAAAATTATTTGTGATATGTGCATTTAACTCATGGAGTTGAAACTTCCTTTCGATAGAAGAGCTTTGAAATACTCTTTTTGTAGAATTTCCAAGTGGATTTTTACAGCGGTTAGAGGTCTATGGCAGAAAAAGAAATATCTTCACAGAAAAACTAGGCAGATTCATTCTCTGAAGCTGTTTTGTGATGCTTGCATTCAGCTTACGGAGTTTAAACTTCCTTTGAGAGAGCAGTTTGGAAACACTCTTTTTGTGGAATTTGCAAGTGTATATTTAGAGCGTTTTGAGGCCTACAGTAGGAAAGGAAATATCTTCACATAAAAACTACACAGAAGTATTGTCAGAAACTTACTTGTGATATTTGCCTTCAACGCACTGATTTGAACATTCCTCTTGATGGAGCAGTTTTGAAACACTCTTTTTGTAGAATCTGCAGGTGGATATTTGGACCTCTTTGTGGCCTTCGTTTGAAACGTGATTTCTGCATTTACAACCAGACAGAAGAATTATCAGAAACTTCTTTGTGATGTGTACTTTCAACTCACAGAGTTGAAGCTTCCTTTCAATAGAGCACTTTTGAAACTCAGTTTCTGTAGAATTTCCAGGTGGATATTTAGCGCCGTTTGAGGCCTATGGTGGAAAAGGCAATATCTTCGTAGAAAAACTAGACAGAATGATTCTCAGAAGCTACTTTGTGATGTGTGGGTTCAACTCACTGAGTTTAACCTTTCTTTTGATAGACCAGTTATGAAACACTCTTTTTGTGGAATCTGCAAGTAAATTTTTGGACTTTTTTGAGGCCTTCATTGGAAACGGGGTTTCTTCATATAAACCTTGACAGAAGAATTCTCAGAAACTTCTCTGTGATGTGTGCGTTTAACTCTCAGAGTTCAACCTTCCTTTTGATAGAAGAGTGTTGAAATATTCTTTTTGCAGAATTTCCAAGTGAATATTTAGAGCCGTCTCAGGCCTATGTGGAAGTGAAACTATCTTCACGGAAAAACTAGACATAATTGTTCTCTGAAGCTACTTTGTGATGTGCGCATTCAGCTTACAGGAGTTTAACCTTTCTTTGGATAGAGCGGTTTTAAACACTCTTTTTGTGGAATTTGCAATTCTATATTTAGAGTGCTTTCAGGCCTGTGGTACAAAAGGGAATGTCCTGACATAAAATCTAGACAGAAGCATTGTCGGGAACTACTTTGTGATACCTGCCTTCAACTCTCAGAGTTGAATGTTCCTCTTGATGGAGCAGTTTTGAAAAACTCTTTTTGTTGAATCTCCAAGTGGATATTTGGACCTCTTTGTGGCCTTCGTTTGAGACGTGACTTCTTCATACAAAAGTAGACAGAAGAATTCTCATAAACTTCTTTGGGATGTCTGCTTTCAACTCACAGAGTTGAGGCTTCCTTTCGATAGACGCAGTCCTGTAACTCTCTTTTTGTAGAATTTCCAAGTGGATATTTAGCGCCGTTTGAGGCCTATGGTGGAAAAGGCAATATCTTCATAGAAAAACTAGACAGAATGATTCTCAGAAACTACTCTGTGATGTGTGCCTTCAACTCACAGAGTTTAATCTTCCTTTTCATAGAGCAGTTTTGAAAAACTCTTTTTGTAGAATCTGCAAGTGTATATTGGGACTTTTCTGAGGCCATCTTTGGAAACGGGATTTCTTCATATAAAACTTGAAAGAAGAATCCTCAGAAAATTATTTGTGATATGTGCATTTAGCTCATGGAGCTGAAACTTCCTTTCGATAGAAGAGCTTTGAAATACTCTTTTTGTAGAATTTCCAAGTGGATTTTTACAGCGGTTTGAGGTCTATGGCAGAAAAAGAAATATCTTCACAGAAAAATTAGGCAGATTCATTCTCCGAAGCTGTTTTGTGATGCTTGCATTCAGCTGACAGAGTTTAAACTTCCTTTGATAGAGCAGTTTTGAAACACTCTTTTTGTGGAATTTGCAAGTGTATATTTAGAGCGTTTTGAGGCCTACAGTAGGAAAGGAAATATCTTCACCTAAAAACTAGACAGAAGTATTGTCAGAAACTTATTTGTGATATTTGCATTCAACGCACGGAGTTGAACATTCCTCTTGATGGAGCCGTTTTGAAGCACTCTTTTTGTGGAATCTGCAAGTGGATATTTGGACCTCTTTGTGGCCTTCGTGTGAAACGTGATTTCTTCATTTACAACTAGCCAGAAGAATTCTCAGAAACTTCTTTGTGATGTGTACTTTCAACTCACAGAGTTGAAGCTTCCTTTCAATAGAGCACTTTTGAAACTCAGTTTCTGTAGAATTTCCAGGTGGATATTTAGCGCCGTTTGAGGCCTATGGTGGAAAAGGCAATATCTTCGTAGAAAAACTAGACAGAATGATTCTCAGAAGCTACTTTGTGATGTGTGGGTTCAACTCACTGAGTTTAACCTTTCTTTTGATAGACGAGTTATGAAACACTCTTTCTGTGGAATCGGCAAGTAAATGTTTGGACTTTATTGAGTCCTTCATTGGAAACGGGGTTTCTTCATATAAACCTTGACAGAAGAATTCTCAGAAACTTCTCTGTGATGTGTGCGTTTAACTCTCAGAGTTCAACCTTCGTTTTGATAGAAGAGTGTTGAAATATTCTTTTTGTAGAATTTCCAAGTGAATATTTAGAGCAGTTTCAGGCCTATGTAGAAGAGAAACTATCTTCACAGAAAAACTAGACATAACTGTTCTCTGAAGCTGCTCTGTGATGTGCGCATTCAGCTGACAGGGTTTAACCTTTCTTTGGATAGAGCGGTTTTCAACACTGTTTTTGTGGAATTTGCAGTTCTATATTTAGAGTGCTTTCAAGCCTGTGGTACAAAAGGGAATGTCTTCACATAAAATCTAGACAGAAGCATTGCCGGGAACTACTTTGTGATACCTGCCTTCAACTCTCAGAGTTGAATATTCCTCTTGACGGAGCAGTTTTGAAAAACTCTTTTTGTTGAATCTCCAAGTGGATATTTGGACCTCTTTGTGGCCTTCGTTTGAAACGTGACTGCTTCATACAAAAGTAGACAGAAGAATTCTCATAAACTTCTTCGTGATGTGTGCTTTCAACTCGCAGAGTTGAAGCTTCCTTTTGATAGAGCAGTTTTGTAACCCTCTTTTTGTAGAATTTCCAAGTGGATATTTAGTGCCGTTTGAGGCCTATGGTGGAAAAGGCAATATCTTCATAGAAAAACTAGACAGAATGATTCTCAGAAACTACTTTGTGATGTGTGCCTTCAACTCACAGAGTTTAACCTTCCTTTTGGTAGAGCAGTTTTGAAAAACTCTTTTTGTAGAATCTGCAAGTGTATATTGGGACTTTTCTGAGGCCATCTTTGGAAACGGGATTTCTTCATATAAAACTTGAAAGAAGAATCCTCAGAAAATTATTTGCGATATGTGCATTTAACTCATGGAGTTGAAACTTCCTTTCGATACAAGAGCTTTGAAATTCTCTTTTTGTAGAATTTCCAAGTGGATTTTTACAGCGGTTTGAGGTCTATGGCAGAAAAAGAAATATCTTCACAGAAAAACTAGGCAGATTCATTCTCCGAAGCTGTTTTGTGATGCTTGCATTAAGCGGACAGAGTTTAAACTTCCTTTGATAGAGCAGTTTGGAAACACTCTTTTTGTGGAATTTGCAAGTGTATATTTAGAGCGTTTTGAGGCCTACAATAAGAAAGGAAATATCTTCACATAAAAGCTACACAGAAGTATTGTCAGAAACTTACTTGTGATATTTGCATTCAACGCCCAGAGTTGAACATTCCTCTTGATGGAGCAGTTTTGAAACACTCTTTTTGTAGAATCTGCAGGTGGATATTTGGACCTCTTTGTGGTCTTCGTTTGAAACGTGATTTCTTCATTTACAACTAGACAGAAGAATTCTCAGAAACTTCTTTGTGATGTGTACCTTCAACTCACAGAGGTGAAGCTTCCTTTCAATAGAGCACTTTTGAAGCTCAGTTTTGGTAGAATTTCCAGGTGGATATTTAGCGCCGTTTGAGGCCTATGGTAGAAAAGGCAATATCTTCGTAGGAGAACTAGACACAATGATTCTCAGAAGCTACTTTGTGATGTGTGGGTTCAACTCACTGAGTTTAACCTTTCTTTTGATAGACCAGTTATGAAACACTCTTTTTGTGGAATCTGCAAGTAAATTTTTGGACTTTTTTGAGGCCTTCATTGGAAACGGGGTTTCTTCATATAAACCTTGACGGAAGAATTCCCAGAAACTTCTCTGTGATGTGTGCATTTAACTCTCAGAGTTCAACTTTCCCTTTGATAGAAGAGGGTTGAAATATTCTTTTTGTAGAATTTCCAAGTGAATATTTAGAGCGGTTTCAGGCCTAAGTAGAAGAGAAAATATCTTCACAGAAAAACTAGACATAATTGTTCTCTGAAGCTACTTTGTGATGTGCTCATTCAGCTTACAGAGTTTAACCTTTCTTTGGATCGAGCGGTTTTAAACACTCTTTTTGTGGAATTTGCAATTCTATATTTAGAGTGCTTTCAGGCCTGTGGTACAAAAGGGAATGTCCTCACATAAAATCTAGACAGAAGCATTGTCGGAAACTACTTTGTGATACCTGCCTTCAACTCTCAGAGTTGAATGTTCCTCTTGATGGAGCAGTTTTGAAAAACTCTTTTTGTTGAATCTCCAAGTAGATATTTGGACCTCTTTGTGGCCTTCGTTTGAGACGTGACTTCTTCATACAAAAGTAGACAGAAGAATTCTCATAAACTTCTTCGTGATGTGTGCTTTCAACTCGCAGAGTTGAAGCTTCCTTTCGATAGAGCAGTCTTGTAACTCTCTTTTTGTAGAATTTCCAAGTGGATATTTAGCGCCGCTTGAGGCCTATGGTGGAGAAGGCGATATCTTCATAGAAAAACTAGACAGAATGATTCTCAGAAACTACTTTGTAATGTGTGCCTTCAACTCACAGAGTTTAACCTTTCTTTTGATAGAGCAGTTTTGAAAAACTCTTTTTGTAGAATCTGCAAGTGTATATTGGGACTTTTCTGAGGCCATCTTTGGAAACGGGATTTCTTCATATAAAACTTGAAAGAAGAATCCTCAGAAAATTATTTGTGATATGTGCATTTAACTCATGGAATTGAAACTTCCTTTCGATAGAAGAGTTTTGACATCCTCTTTTTGTAGAATTTCCAAGTGGATTTTTACAGCGGTTTGAGGTCTATGGCAGAAAAAGAAATATCTTCACAGAAAAACAAGGCAGATTCATTCTCCGAAGCTCTTTTGTGATGCTTGCATTAAGCGGACAGAGTTTAAACTTCCTTTGAGAGAGCAGTTTGGAAACACTCTTTATGTGGAATTTGCAAGTGTATATTTAGAGCGTTTTGAGGCCTACAGTAGGAAAGGAAATATCTTCACATAAAAACTACACAGAAGTATTGTCAGAAACTTATTTGTGATATTTGCATTCAACGCACAGAGTTGAACATTCCTCGTGATGGAGCAGTTTTGAAACACTCTTTTTGTAGAATCTGCAAGTGAATATTTGGACCTCTTTGTGGCCTTCGTTTGAAACGTGATTTATTCATTTAAAACTAGACAGAAGAATTCTCAGAAACTTCTTTGTGATGTGTACCTTCAACTCACAGAGGTGAAGCTTCCTTTCAATAGAGCACTTTTGAAGCTCAGTTTTGGTACAATTTCCAGGTGGATATTTAGCGCCGTTTGAGGCCTATGGTAGAAAAGGCAATATCTTCGTAGGAGAACAAGACACAATGATTCTCAGAAGCTACTTTGTGATGTGTGGGTTCAACTCACTGAGTTTAACCTTTCTTTTGATAGACGAGTTATGAAACACTCTTTCTGTGGAATCGGCAAGTAAATATTTGGACTTTTTTGAGGCCTTCATTGGAAACGGGGTTTCTTCATATCAACCTTGACAGAAGAATTCCCAGAAACTTCTCTGTGATGTGTGCATTTAACTCTCAGAGTTCAACCTTCCTTTTGATAGAAGAGGGTTGAAATATTCTTTTTGTAGAATTTCCAAGTGAATATTTAGAGCGGTTTCAGTCCTATGTAGAAGAGAAAATATCTTCACAGAAAAACTAGACATAATTGTTCTCTGAAGCTGCTCTGTGATGTGCGCATTCAGCTGACAGAGTTTAACCTTTCTTTGGATAGAGCGGTTTTAAACACTCTTTTTTTTGGAATTTGCAATTCTATACTTAGAGTGCTTTCAGGCCTGTGGTACAAAAGGGAATGTCTTCACATAAAATCTACACAGAAGCATTGTCGGGAACTACTTTGTGATACCTGCCTTCAACTCTCAGAGTTGAATATTCCTCTTGATGGAGCAGTTTTGTAAAACACTTTTTGTTGAATCTCCAAGTGGATATTTGGACCTCTTTGTGGCCTTCGTTTGAAACGTGACTGCTTCATACAAAAGTAGACAGAAGAATTCTCATAAACTTCTTCGTGATGTGTGCTTTCAACTCGCAGCGTTGAAGCTTCCTTTCGATAGAGCAGTTTTGTGACTCTCTTTTTGTAGAATTTCCAAGTGGATATTTGGCGGCGTTTGAGGCTTATGGTGGAAAATGCAATATCTTCCTAGAAAAACTAGACAGAATGATTCTCAGAAACTACTTTGTGATGTGTGCCTTCAACTCACAGAGTTTAACCTTTCTTTTGATAGAGCAGTTTTGAAAAACTCTTTTTGTAGAATCTGCAAGTGTATATTGGGACTTTTCTGAGGCCATCTTTGGAAACGGGATTTCTTCATATAAAACTTGAAAGAAGAATCCTCAGAAAATTATTTGTGATATGTGCATTTAACTCATGGAGTTGAAACTTCCTTTCGATAGAAGAGTTTTGAAATACTCTTTTTGTAGAATTCCCAAGTGGATTTTTACAGCGGTTTGAGGTCTATGGCAGCAAAAGAAATATCTTCACAGAAAAACTAGGCAGATTCATTCTCCGAAGCTGTTTTGTGATGCTTGCATTAAGCTGACAGAGTTTAAACTTTTTTTGTTAGAGCAGTTTGGAAACACTCTTTTTGTGGAATTTGCAAGTGTATATTTAGAGCGTTTTGAGGCCTACAGTAGGAAAGGAAATATCTTCACATAAAAGCTAGACAGAAGTATTGTCAGAAAATTATTTGTGATATTTGCATTCAACGCACAGAGTTGAACATTCCTCTTGATGGAGCAGATTTGAAACCCTCTTTTTGCAGAATCTGCAGCTGGATATTTGGGCCTCTTTGTGGCCTTCGTTTGAAACGTGATTTCTGCATTTACAACTAGACAGAAGAATTCTCAGAAACTTCTTTGTGATGTGTACCTTCAACTCACAGAGTTGAAGCTTCCTTTCAATAGAGCACTTTTGAAACTCAGTTTTTGTAGAATTTCCAGGTGGATATTTAGCGCCGTTTGAGGCCTATGGTAGAAAAGGCAATATCTTCGTAGGAAAACTAGACAGAATGATTCTCAGAAGCTACTTTGTGATGTGTGGGTTCAACTCACTGAGTTTAACCTTTCTTTTGATAGACCAGTTATGAAACACTCTTTCTGTGGAATCTGCAAGTAAATATTTGGACTGTTTTGAGGCCTTCATTGGAAACGGGGTTTCTTCATATAAACCTTGACAGAAGAATCCCCAGTAAACTTCTTTGTGATGTGTGCATTTAACTCTCAGAGTTCAACCTTCCTTTTGATAGAAGAGTGTTGAAATATTCTTTTTGTAGAATTTCCAAGTGAATATTTAGAGCGGTTTCAAGCCTATGTAGAAGAGAAAATATCTTCACAGAGAAACTAGACATAATTGTTCTCTGAAGCTACTTTGTGATGTGCGCCTTCAGCGGACAGAGTTTAACCTTTCTTTGGATAGAGCGGTTTTAAGCACTCTTTCTGTGGAATTTGCAATTCTATATTTAGAGTGCTTTCAGGCCTGTGGTACAAAAGGGAATGTCTTCACATAAAATCTAGACAGAAGCATTGTTGGGAACTACTTTGGGATACCTGCCTTCAACTCTCAGAGTTGAATATTCCTCTTGATGGAGCAGTTTTGAAAAACTCTTTTTGTTGAATCTCCAAGTGGATATTTGGACCTCTTTGTGGCATTCGTTTGAAACGTGACTGCTTCACACCAAAGTAGACAGAAGAATTCTCATAAACTTCTTCGTGATGTGTGCTTTCAACTCGCAGCGTTGAAGCTTCCTTTCGATAGAGCAGTTTAGTAACTCTCTTTTTGTAGAATTTCCAAGTGGATATTTAGCGCCGTTTGAGGCCTATGGTGGAAAAGGCAATATCTTCATAGAAAAACTAGACAGAATGATTCTCAGAAACTACTTTGTGATGTGTGCCTTAAACTCACAAGAGTTTAACCTTTCTTTTGATAGAGCAGTTTTGAAAAACTCTTTTTGTAGAATCTGCAAGTGTATATTGGGACTTTTCTGAGGCCATCTTTGGAAACGGGATTTCTTCATATAAAACTTGAAAGAAGAATCCTCAGAAAATTATTTGTGATATGTGCATTTAACTCATGGAGTTGAAACTTCCTATCGATAGAAGAGTTTTGAAATACTCTTTTTGTAGAATTTCCAAGTGGATTTTTACAGCGGTTTGAGGTCTATGGTAGCAAAAGAAATATCTTCACAGAAAAACTAGGCAGATTCATTCTCCGAAGCTGTTTTGTGATGCTTGCATTAAGCTGACAGAGTTTAAACTTCCTTTGATAGAGCAGTTTGGAAACACTCTTTTTGTGGAATTTGCAAGTGTATATTTAGAGTGTTTTGAGGCCTACAGTAGGAAAGGAAATATCTTCACATAAAAGCTAGACAGAAAGTATTGTCAGAAACTTACTTGTGATATTTGCATTCAACGCACAGAGTTGAACATTCCTCTTGATGGAGCAGTTTTGAAACACTCTTTTTGCAGAATCTGCAGGTGGATATTTGGACCTCTTTGTGGCCTTCGTTTGAAACGTGATTTCTTCATTTACAACTAGACAGAAGAATTCTCAGAAACTTCTTTGTGATGTGTACCTTCAACTCACAGAGTTGAAGCTTCCTTTCAATAGAGCACTTTTGAAACTCAGTTTTTGTAGAATTTCCAGGTGGATATTTAGCACCGTTTGAGGCCTATGGTAGAAAAGGCAATATCTTCGTAGGAAAACTAGACAGAATGATTCTCAGAAGCTACTTTGTGATGTGTGGGTTCAACTCACTGAGTTTCACCTTTCTTTTGATAGACCAGTTATGAAACACTCTTTCTGTGGAATCGGCAAGTAAATATTTGGACTTTTTTGAGGGCTTCATTGGAAACGGGGTTTCTTCATATAAACCTTGACAGAAGAATTCTCAGAAACTTCTCTGTGATGTGTGCGTTTAACTCTCAGAGTTCAACCTTCCTTTTGATAGAAGAGTGTTGAAATATTCTTTTTGTAGAATTTCCAAGTGAATATTTAGAGCGGTCTCAGGCCTATGTAGAAGAGAATCTATCTTCACCGAAAAACTAGACATCATTGTTCTCTGAAGCTACTTTGTGATGTGCGCCTTCAGCTGACAGAGTTTAACCTTTCTTTGGATAGAGCGGTTTCAAACACTCTTTCTGTGGAATTTGCAATTCTATATTTAGAGTGCTTTCAGGCCTGTGGTACAAAAGGGAATGTCTTCACATAAAATCTAGACAGAAGCATTGTTGGGAACTACTTTGTGATACCTGCCTTCAACTCTCAGAGTTGAATATTCCTCTTGATGGAGCAGTTTTGTAAAACTCTTTTTGATGAATCTCCAAGTGGATATTTGGACCTCTTTGTGGCCTTCGTTTGATACGTGACTGCTTCATACAAAAGTAGACAGAAGAATTCTCATCAACTTCTTCGTGATGTGTGCTTTCAACTCGCAGCGTTGAAGCTTCCTTTCGATAGAGCAGTTCTGTAACTCACTTTTTGTAGGATTTCCAAGTGGATATTTAGCGCCGTTTGAGGCCTATGGTGGAAAAGGCAATATCTTCGTAGAAAAACTAGACAGAATGATTCTCAGAAACTACTTTGTGATGTGTGCCTTCAACTCACAGAGTTTAACCTTCCTCTTGGTAGAGCAGTTTTGAAAAACTCTTTTTGTAGAATCTGCAAGTGTATATTGGGACTTTTCTGAGGCCATCTTTGGAAACGGGATTTCTTCATATAAAACTTGAAAGAAGAATCCTCAGAAAATTATTTGTGATATGTGCATTTAACTCATGGAGTTGAGACTTCCTTTCGATAGAAGAGTTTTGAAATACTCTTTTTGTAGAATTTCCAAGTGGATTTTTACAGCGCTTTGAGGTCTATGGCAGAAAAAGAAATATCTTCACAGAAAAACTAGGCAGATTCATTCTCCGAAGCTGTTTAGTGATGCTTGCATTAAGCTGACAGAGTTTAAACTTCCTTTGATAGAGCAGTTTGGAAACACTCTTTTTGTGGAATTTGCAATTCTATATTTAGAGTGCTTTCAGGCCTGTGGTACAAAAGGGAATGTCTTCACATAAAATCTAGACAGAAGCATTGCCGGGAACTACTTTGTGATACCTGCCTTCAACTCTCAGAGTTGAATATTCCTCTTGACGGAGCAGTTTTGAAAAACTCTTTTTGTTGAATCTCCAAGTGGATATTTGGACCTCTTTGTGGCCTTCGTTTGAAACGTGACTGCTTCATACAAAAGTAGACAGAAGAATTCTCATAAACTTCGTCGTGATGTGTGCTTTCAACTCGCTGAGTTGAAGCCTCCTTTCGACAGAGCAGTTTTGTAACCCTCTTTTTGTAGAATTTCCAAGTGGATATTTAGCGCCGTTTGAGGCCTATGGTGGAAAAGGCAATATCTTCACAGAAAAACTAGACAGAATGATTCTCAGAAACTACTTTGTGATGTGTGCCTTCAACTCACAGAGTTTAACCTTTCTGTTGATAGAGCAGTTTTGAAAAACTCTTTCTGTAGAATCTGCAAGTGTATATTGGGACTTTTCTGAGGCCATGTTTGGAAACGGGATTTCTTCATATAAAACTTGAAAGAAGAATCCTCAGAAAATTATTTGTGATATGTGCATTTAACTCATGGAGTTGAAACTTCCTTTCGATAGAAGAGTTTTGAAATACTCTTTTTGTAGAATTTCCAAGTGGATTTTTACAGCGGTGTGAAGACTATGGCAGCAAAAGAAATATCTTTACAGAAAAACTGGGCAGATTCATTCTCCGAAGCTGTTTTGTGATGCTTGCATTCAGCTTACAGAGTTTAAACTTACTTTGATAGAGCAGTTTTGAAACCCTCTTTTTGTGGAATTTGCAAGTGTCTCTTTAGAGCGTTTTGAGGCCTACAGTAGGAAAGGAAATATCTTCACATAAAAACTAGACGGAAGTATTGTCAGAAACTTCTTTGTGATATTTGCATTCAACGCACAGAGTTGAACATTCCTCTTGATGGAGCAGTTTTGAAACACTCTTTTTGCAGAATCTGCAGGTGGATATTTGGACCTCTTTGTGGCCTTCGTTTGAAACGTGATTTCTTCATTTACAACTAGACAGAAGACTTCTCAGAAACTTCTTTGTGATGTGTACCTTCAACTCACAGAGGTGAAGCTTCCTTTCAATAGAGCACTTTTGAAGCTCAGTTTTGGTAGAATTTCCAGGTGGATATTTAGCGCCGTTTGAGGCCTATGGTAGAAAAGGCAATATCTTCGTAGGAGAACTAGACAGAATGATTCTCAGAAGCTACTTTGTGATGTGTGGGTTCAACTCACTGAGTTTCACCTTTCTTTTGATAGACCAGTTATGAAACACTCTTTTTGTGGAATCTGCAAGTAAATATTTGGACTTTTTTGAGGCCTTCATTTGAAACGGGGTTTCTTCATATAAACCTTGACAGAAGAATTCTCAGAAACTTCTCTGTGATGTGTGCGTTTAACTCTCAGAGTTCAACCTTCCTTTTGATAGAAGAGTGTTGAAATATTCTTTTTGTAGAATTTCCAAGTGAATATTTAGAGCGGTTTCAGGCCTATGTAGAAGAGAAACTATCTTCACAAGAAAAACTAGACATAATTGTTCTCTGAAGCTACTCTGTGATGTGCGCATTCAGCTGACAGAGTTTAACCTTTCTTCGGATAGAGCGGTTTTAAACCCTCTTTTTGTGGAATTTGCAATTCTGTATTTAGAGTGCTTTCAGGCCTGTGGTACAAAAGGGAATGTCTTCACATAAAATCTAGACAGAAGCATTGTCGGAAACTACTTTGTGATACCTGCCTTCAACTCTCAGAGTTGAATGTTCCTCTTGATGGAGCAGTTTTGAAAAACTCTTTTTGTTGAATCTCCAAGTGGATATTTGGACCTCTTTGTGGCCTTCGTTTGAGACGTGACTTCTTCATACAAAAGTAGACAGAAGAATTCTCATAAACTTCTTCGTGATGTGTGCTTTCAACTCGCAGCGTTGAAGCTTCCTTTCGATAGAGCAGTTCTGTAACTCTCTTTTTGTAGAATTTCCAAGTGGATATTTAGTGCCGTTTGAGGCCTATGGTGGAAAAGGCAATATCCTCATAGAAAAACTAGAAAGAATGATTCTCAGAAACTACTTTGTGATGTGTGCCTTCAACTCACAGAGTTTAACCTTTCTTTTGATAGAGCAGTTTTGAAAAACTCTTTTTGTAGAATCTGCAAGTGTATATTGGGACTTTTCTGAGGCCATCTTTGGAAACGGGATTTCTTCATATAAAACTTGAAAGAAGAATCCTCAGAAAATTATTTGTGATATGTGCATTTAACTCATGGAGTTGAGACTTCCTTTCGATAGAAGAGTTTTGAAATACTCTTTTTGTAGAATTTCCAAGTGGATTTTTACAGCGGTTTGAGGTCTATGGCAGAAAAAGAAATATCTTCACAGAAAAACTAGGCAGATTCATTCTCCGAAGCTGTTTTGTGATGCTTGCATTCAGCTGACAGAGTTTAAACTTCCTTTGATAGAGCAGTTTGGAAACACTCTTTTTGTGGAATTTGCAAGTGTATATTTAGAGCGTTTTGAGGCCTACAGTAGGAAAGGAAATATCTTCACCTAAAAACTAGACAGAAGTATTGTCAGAAACTTATTTGTGATATTTGCATTCAACGTACAGAGTTGAACATTCCTCTTGATGGAGCCGTTTTGAAGCACTCTTTTTGTGGAATCTGCAAGTGGATATTCGGACCTCTTTGTGGCCTTCGTGGGAAACGTGATTTCTTCATTTACAACTAGACAGAAGAATTCTCAGAAACTTCTTTGTGATGTGTACCTTCAACTCACAGAGGTGAAGCTTCCTTTCAATAGAGCACTTTTGAAACTCAGTTTAGGTAGAATTTCCAGGTGGATATTTAACGCCGTTTGAGGCCTATGCTAGAAAAGGCAATATCTTCGTAGGAGAACTAGACAGAATGATTCTCAGAAGCTACTTTGTGATGTGTGGGTTCAACTCACTGAGTTTAACCTTTCTTTTGATAGACCAGTTATGAAACACTCTTTTTGTGGAATCTGCAAGTAAATTTTTGGACTTTTTTGAGGCCTTCATTGGAAACGGGGTTTCTTCATATAAACCTTGACAGAAGAATTCCCAGAAACTTCTCTGTGATGTGAGCATTTAACTCTCAGAGTTCAACCTTCCTTTTGATAGAAGAGGGTTGAAATATTCTTTTTGTAGAATTTCCAAGTGAATATTTAGAGC
This sequence comes from Homo sapiens, assembly GCF_000001405.40. Classification (NCBI taxonomy): domain Eukaryota; kingdom Metazoa; phylum Chordata; class Mammalia; order Primates; family Hominidae; genus Homo; species Homo sapiens. The sequence continues at coordinate 91,092,509 of NC_000003.12, forward strand.
GGTTTCAGGCCTAAGTAGAAGAGAAAATATCTTCACAGAAAAACTAGACATAATTGTTCTCTGAAGCTACTTTGTGATGTGCGCATTCAGCTTACAGAGTTTAACCTTTCTTTGGATAGAGCGGTTTTAAACACTCTTTTTGTGGAATTTGCAATTCTATATTTAGAGTGCTTTCAGGCCTGTGGTACAAAAGGGAATGTCCTCACATAAAATCTAGACAGAAGCATTGTCGGAAACTACTTTGTGATACCTGCCTTCAACTCTCAGAATTGAATATTCCTCTTGATGGAGCAGTTTTGTAAAACTCTTTTTGTTGAATCTCCAAGTGGATATTTGGACGTCTTTGTGGCCTTCGTTTGAAACGTGACTGCTTCATACAAAAGTAGACAGAAGAATTCTCATAAACTACTTCGTGATGTGTGCTTTCAACTCGCAGCGTTGAAGCTTCCTTTCGATAGAGCAGTTTAGTAACTCTCTTTTTGTAGAATTTCCAAGTGGATATTTAGCGCCGTTTGAGGCCTATGGTGGAAAAGGCAATATCTTCATAGAAAAACTAGACAGAATGATTCTCAGAAACTACTTTGTGATGTGTGCCTTCAACTCACAGAGTTTAACCTTTCTTTGGATAGAGCAGTTTTGAAAAACTCTTTTTGTAGAATCTGCAAGGGTATATTGGGACTTTTCTGAGGCCCTCTTTGGAAACGGGATTTCTTCATATAAAACTTCAAAGAAGAATCCTCAGAAAATTATTTGTGATATGTGCATTTAACTGATGGAGTTGAAACTTCCTTTCGATAGAAGAGTTTTGAAATACTCTTTTTGTAGAATTTCCAAGTGGATTTTTACAGCGGTGTGAGGTCTATGGCAGCAAAAGAAATATCTTCACAGAAAAACTAGGCAGATTCATTCTCCGAAGCTGTTTTGTGATGCTTGCATTAAGCTGACAGAGTTTCAACTTCCTTTGATAGAGCAGTTTGGAAACACTCTGTTTGTGGAATTTGCAAGTGTATATTTAGAGCGTTTTGAGGCCTACAGTAGGAAAGGAAATATCTTCACATAAAAACTAGACAGAAGTATTGTCAGAAACTTATTTGTGATATTTGCATTCAACGCACAGAGTTGAACATTCCTCTTGATGGAGCAGATTTGAAACCCTCTTTTTGCAGAATCTGCAGCTGGACATTTGGACCTCTTTGTGGCCTTCGTTTGAAACGTGATTTCTGCATTTACAACTAGACAGAAGAATTCTCAGAAACTTCTTTGTGATGTGTACCTTCAACTCACAGAGGTGAAGCTTCCTTTCAGTAGAGCACTTTTGAAACTCAGTTTCGGTAGAATTTCCAGGTGGATATTTAGCGCCGTTTGAGGCCTATGGTAGAAAAGGCAATATCTTCGTATGAGAACTAGACACAATGATTCTCAGAAGCTACTTTGTGATGTGTGGGTTCAACTCACTGAGTTTCACCTTTCTTTTGATAGACCAGTTATGAAACACTCTTTTTGTGGAATCTGCAAGTAAATTTTTGTACTTTTTTGAGGCCTTCATTGGAAACGGGGTTTCTTCATATAAACCTTGACAGAAGAATTCTCAGAAACTTCTCTGTGATGTGTGCGTTTAACTCTCAGAGTTCAACCTTCCTTTTGATAGAAGAGTGTTGAAATATTCTTTTTGCAGAATTTCCAAGTGAATATTTAGAGCGGTCTCAGGCCTATGTGGAAGAGAAACTATCTTCACGGAAAAACTAGACATAATTGTTCTCTGAAGCTACTCTGTGATGTGCGCATTCAGCTGACAGAGTTTAACCTTTCTTTGGATAGAGCGGTTTTCAACACACTTTTTGTGGAATTTGCAATTCTATATTTAGAGTGCTTTCAGGCCTGTGGTACAAAAGGGAATGTCTTCACATAAAATCTAGACAGAAGCATTGTCGGGAACTACTTTGGGATACCTGCCTTCAACTCTCAGAGTTGAATATTCCTCTTGATGGAGCAGTTTTGAGAAACTCTTTTTGTTGAATCTCCAAGTGGATATTTGGACCTCTTTGTGGCCTTCGTTTGAAACGTGACTGCTTCATACAAAAGTAGACAGAAGAATTCTCATAAACTTCTTCGTGATGTGTGCTTTCAACTCGCAGAGTTGAAGCTTCCTTTCGATAGAGCAGTCTTGTAACTCTCTTTTTGTAGAATTTCCAAGTGGATATTTAGCGCCGCTTGAGGCCTATGGTGGAGAAGGCGATATCTTCATAGAAAAACTAGACAGAATGATTCTCAGAAACTACTTTGTGATGTGTGCCTTAAACTCACAAGAGTTTAACCTTTCTTTTGATAGAGCAGTTTTGAAAAACTCTTTTTGTAGAATCTGCAAGTGTATATTGGGACTTTTCTGAGGCCATCTTTGGAAACGGGATTTCTTCATATAAAACTTGAAAGAAGAATCCTCAGAAAATTATTTGTGATATGTGCATTTAACTCATGGATTTGAAACTTCCTTTCGATAGAAGAGCTTTGCAATACTCTTTTTGTAGAATTTCCAAGTGGATTTTTACAGCGGTTTGAGGTCTATGGCAGGAAAAGAAATATCTTCACAGAAAAACTAGGCAGATTCATTCTCCGAAGCTGTTTAGTGATGCTTGCATTAAGCTGACAGAGTTTAAACTTCCTTTGATAGAGCAGTTTGGAAACACTCTTTTTGTGGAATTTGCAATTCTATATTTAGAGTGCTTTCAGGCCTGTGGTACAAAAGGGAATGTCTTCACATAAAATCTAGACAGAAGTATTGTCAGAAACTTATTTGTGATATTTGCATTCAACGCACGGAGTTGAACATTCCTCTTGATGGAGCCGTTTTGAAGCACTCTTTTTGTGGATTCTGCAAGTGGATATTTGGACCTCTTTGTGGCCTTCATGTGAAACGTGATTTCTTCATTTACAACTAGACAGAAGAATTCTCAGAAACTTCTTTGTGATGTGTACCTTCAACTCACAGAGGTGAAGCTTCCTTTCAATAGAGCACTTTTGAAACTCAGTTTTGGTAGAATTTCCAGGTGGATATTTTGCGCCGTTTGAGGCCTATGGTAGAAAAGGCAATATTCTTCGTAGGAGAACTAGACACAATGATTCTCAGAAACTACTTTGTGATGTGTGGGTTCACCTCACTGAGTTTAACCTTTCTTTTGATAGACCAGTTATGAAACACTCTTTTTGTAGAATCTGCAAGTAAATATTTGGACTTTTTTGAGGCCTTCATTGGAAACGGGATTTCTTCATAGAAACCTTGACAGAAGAATTCCCAGAAACTTCTTTGTGATGTGTGCATTGAACTCTCAGAGTTCAACCTTCCTTTTGATAGAAGAGTGTTGAAATATTCTTTTTGTAGAATTTCCAAGTGAATATTAAGATCGGTTTCAGGCCTATGTAGAAGAGAAAATATCTTCACAGAGAAACTAGACATAATTGTGCTCTGAAGCTGCTCTGTGATGTGCGCATTCAGCTGACAGAGTTTAACCTTTCTTTGGATAGAGCGGTTTTCAACACTCTTTTTGTGGAATTTGCAATTGTATATTTAGAGTGCTTTCAGGCCTGTGGGACAAAAGGGAATGTCTTCACATAAATTCTAGACAGAAGCATTGTTGGGAACTACTTTGTGATACCTGCCTTCAACTCTCAGAGTTGAATATTCCTCTTGATGGAGCAGTTTTGTAAAACTCTTTTTGTTGAATCTCCAAGTGGATATTTGGACCTCTTCGTGGCCTTCGTTTGAAACGTGACTGCTTCATACAAAAGTAGACAGAAGAATTCTCATAAACTTCTTCGTGATGTGTGCTTTCAACTCGCAGAGTTGAAGCTTCCTTTCGATAGAGCAGTCTTGTAACTCTCTTTTTGTAGAATTTCCAAGTGGATATTTAGCGCCGTTTGAGGCCTATGGTGGAAAAGGCAATATCTTCATAGAAAAACTAGTCAGAATGATTCTCAGAAACTTCTTTGTGATGTGTGCCTTCAACTCACAGAGTTTAACCTTCCTTTTGGTAGAGCAGTTTTGAAAAACTCTTTTTGTAGAATCTGCAAGTGTATATTGGGACTTTTCTGAGGCCATCTTTGGAAACGGGATTTCTTCATATAAAACTTGAAAGAAGAATCCTCAGAAAATTATTTGTGATATGTGCATTTTACTCATGGAGTTGAAAGTTCCTTTCGATAGAAGAGTTTTGAAATACTCTTTCTGTAGAATTTCCAAGTGGATTTTTACAGCGGTGTGAGGTCTATGGCAGCAAAAGAAATATCTTCACAGAAAAACTGGGCAGATTCATTCTCCGAAGCTGTTTTGTGATGCTTGCATTAAGCTGACAGAGTTTAAACTTCCTTTGATAGAGCAGTTTGGAAACACTCTTATTGTGGAATTTGCAAGTGTATATTTAGAGCGTTTTGAGGCCTACAGTAGGAAAGGAAATATCTTCACATAAAAACTAGACAGAAATATTGTCAGAAACTTATTTGTGATATTTGCATTCAACGCACAGAGTTGAACATTCCTCTTGATGGAGCAGTTTTCAAACCCTAATTTGCAGAATCTGCAGCTGGATATTTGGACCTCTTTGTGGCCTTCGTTTGAAATGTGATTTCTGCATTTACAACTAGACAGAAGAATTCTCAGAAACTTCTTTGTGATGTGTACCTTCAACTCACAGAGGTGAAGCTTCCTTTCAATAGAGCACTTTTGAAGCTCAGTTTTGGTAGAATTTCCAGGTGGATATTTAGCGCCGTTTGAGGCCTATGGTAGAAAAGGCAATATCTTCGTAGGAGAACTAGACACAATGATTCTCAGAAGCTACTTTGTGATGTGTGGGTTCTACTCACTGAGTTTAACCTTTCTTTTGATAGACCAGTTATGAAACACTCTTTCTGTGGAATCGGCAAGTAAATATTTGGACTTTTTTGAGGCCTTCATTGGAAACGGGGTTTCTTCATATAAACCTTGACAGAAGAATTCTCAGAAACTTCTCTGTGATGTGTGCGTTTAACTCTCAGAGTTCAACCTTCCTTTTGATAGAAGAGTGTTGAAATATTCTTTTTGCAGAATTTCCAAGTGAATATTTAGAGCGGTCTCAGGCCTATGTGGAAGAGAAACTATCTTCACGGAAAAACTAGACATAATTGTTCTCTGAAGCTACTTTGTGATGTGCGCATTCAGCTTACAGAGTTTAACCTTTCTTTGGATAGAGCAGTTTTAAACACTCTTTTTGTGGAATTTGCAATTCTATATTTAGAGTGCTTTCAGGCCTGTGGTACAAAAGGGAATGTCTTCACATAAAATCTAGACAGAAGCATTGTCGGGAACTACTTTGTGATACCTGCCTTCAACTCTCAGAGTTGAATATTCCTCTTGAAGGAGCATTTTTGAAAAACTCTTTTTGTTGAATCTCCAAGTGGATATTTGGTCCTCTTTGTGGCCTTCGTTTGAAACGTGACTGCTTCATACAAAAGTAGACAGAAGAATTCTCATAAACTTCTTCGTGATGTGTGCTTTCAACTCGCAGCGTTGAAGCTTCCTTTCGATAGAGCAGTTTAGTAACTCTCTTTTTGTAGAAGTTCCAAGTGGATATTTAGCGCCGTTTGAGGCCTATGGTGGAAAAGGCAATATCTTCATAGAAAAACTAGACAGAATGATTCTCAGAAACTACTGTGTGATGTGTGCCTTCAACTCACAGAGTTTAACCTTCCTTTTGATAGAGCAGTTTTGAAAAACTCTTTTTGTAGAATCTGCAAGTGCATATTGGGACTTTTCTGAGGCCAACTTTGGAAACGGGATTTCTTCATATAAAACTTGAAAGAAGAATCCTCAGAAAATTATTTGTGATATGTGCATTTAACTCATGGATTTGAAACTTCCTTTCGATAGAAGAGCTTTGCAATACTCTTTTTGTAGAATTTCCAAGTGGATTTTTACAGCGGTTTGAGGTCTATGCCAGGAAAAGAAATATCTTCACAGAAAAACTAGGCAGATTCATTCTCCGAAGCTGTTTTGTGATGCTTGCATTCAGCTGACAGAGTTTAAACTTCCTTTGATAGAGCAGTTTGGAAACACTCTTTTTGTGGAATTTGCAAGTGTATATTTAGAGCGCTTTGAGGCCTACAGTAGGAAAGGAAATATCTTCACCTAAAAACTAGACAGAAGTATTGTCAGAAACTTATTTGTGATATTTGCATTCAAAGCACAGAGTTGAACATTCCTCTTGATGGAGCCGTTTTGAAACACTCTTTTTGTAGAATCTGCAAGTGGATATTTGGACCTCTTTGTGGCCTTCGTGTGAAACGTGATTTCTTCATTTACAACTAGACAGAAGAATTCTCAGAAACTTCTTTGTGATGTGTACCTTCAACTCACAGAGGTGAAGCTTCCTTTCAATAGAGCACTTTTGAAGCTCAGTTTTGGTAGAATTTCCAGGTGGATATTTAGCGCCGTTTGAGGCCTATGGTAGAAAAGGCAATATCTTCGTAGGAGAACTAGACACAATGATTCTCAGAAGCTACTTTGTGATGTGTGGGGTCAACTCACTGAGTTTAACCTTTCTTTTGATAGACCAGTTATGAAACACTCTTTTTGTGGAATCGGCAAGTAAATATTTGGACTTTTTGGAGGCCTTCATTGGAAACGGGGTTTCTTCATGTAAACCTTGACAGAAGAATTCCCAGAAACTTCTTTGTGATGTGTGCATTTAACTCTCAGAGTTCAACCTTTCTTTTGACAGAAGAGTGTTGAAATATTCTTTTTCTAGAGTTTCCAAGTGAATATTTAGAGCGGTTTCAGGCCTATGTAGAAGAGAAAATATCTTCACAGAGAAACTAGACATAATTGTTCTCTGAAGCTACTTTGTGATGTGCGCATTCAGCTTACAGAGTTTAACCTTTCTTTGGATCGAGCGGTTTTAAACACTCTTTTTGTGGAATTTGCAATTCTATATTTAGAGTGCTTTCAGGCCTGTGGTACAAAAGGGAATGTCCTCACATAAAATCTAGACAGAAGCATTGTCGGAAACTAATTTGTGATACCTGCCTTCAACTCTCAGAGTTGAATATTCCTCTTGATGGAGCAGTTTTGAAAAACTCTTTTTGTTGAATCTCCAAGTGGGTATTTGGACCTCTTTGTGTCCTTAGTTTGAAACGTGACTGCTTCATACAAAAGTAGACACAAGAATTCTCATAAACTTCTTCGTGATGTGTGCTTTCAACTCGCAGCGTTGAAGCTTCCTTTCGATAGAGCACTTTTGTGACTCTCTTTTTGTAGAATTTCCAAGTGGATATTTGGCGCCGTTTGAGGCTTATGGTGGAAAAGGCAATATCTTCCTAGAAAAACTAGACAGAATGATTCTCAGAAACTACATTGTGATGTGTGCCTTCAACTCACAGAGTTTCACCTTTCTTTTGATAGAGCACTTTTGAAAAACTCTTTTTGTTGAATCTGCAAGTGTATATTGGGAATTTTCTGAGGCCATCTTTGGAAACGGGATTTCTTCGTATAAAACTTGAAGGAAGAATCCTCAGAAAATTATTTGAGATATGTGCATTTAACTCATGGAGTTGAAACTTCCTTTCGATAGAAGCGTTTTGAAATACTCTTTTTGTAGAATTTCCAAGTGGATTTTTACAGCGGTTTGAGGTCTATGGCGGAAAAAGAAATATCTTCACAGAAAAACTAGGCAGATTCATTCTCCGAAGCTGTTTTGTGATGCTTGCATTAAGCTGACAGAGTTTAAACTTCCTTTGATAGAGCAGTTTGGAAACACTCTTTATGTGGAATTTGCAAGTGTATATTTAGAGCGTTTTGAGGCCTACAGTAGGAAAGGAAATATCTTCACATAAAAACTAGACAGAAGTATTGTCAGAAACTTATTTGTGATATTTGCATTCAACGCACAAAGTTGAACATTCCTCTTGATGGAGCAGTTTTGAAACCCTCTTTTTGCAGAATCTGCAGGTGGATATTTGGACCTCTTTGTGGCCTTCGTTTGAAACGTGATTTCTTCATTTACAACTAGACAGAAGAATTCTCAGAAACTTCTTTGTGATGTGTACCTTCAACCCACAGAGGTGAAGCTTCCTTTCAATAGAGCACTTTTGAAACTCAGTTTTGGTAGAATTTCCAGGTGGATATTTAGCGCCGTTTGAGGCCTATGGTAGAAAAGGCAATATCTTCGCAGGAGAACTAGACAGAATGATTCTCAGAAACAACTTTGTGATGTGTGCGTTCAACTCACGGAGTTTAACCTTTCTATTGATAGACTAGTTATGAAACACTCTTTTTGTAGAATCTGCAAGTAAATATTTGGACTTTTTTGAGGCCTTCATTGGAAACGGGATCTCTTCATATAAACCTTGACAGAAGAATTCTCAGAAACTTCTCTGTGATGTGTGCATTTAACTCTCAGAGTTCAACCTTCCTTTTGATAGAAGAGTGTTGAAATATTCTTTTTGCAGAATTTCCAAGTGAATATTTAGAGCGGTCTCAGGCCTATGTGGAAGAGAAACTATCTTCACGGACAAACTAGACATAATTGTTCTCTGAAGCTACTCTGTGATGTGCGCATTCAGCTGACAGAGTTTAACCTTTCTTAGGATAGAGCGGTTTTAAACCCTCTTTTTGTGGAATTTGCAATTCTGTATTTAGAGTGCTTTCAGGCCTGTGGTACAAAAGGGAATGTCTTCACCTAAAATCTAGACAGAAGCATTGTCGGGAACTACTTTGGGATACCTGCCTTCAACTCTCAGAGTTGAATATTCCTCTTGATGGAGCAGTTTTGAAAAACTCTTTTTGTTGAATCTCCAAGTGGATATTTGGACCTCTTTGTGGCCTTCGTTTGAAACGTTATTTCTTCATTTACAACTAGACAGAAGAATTCTCATAAACTTCTTTGTGATGTGTGCTTCAACTCGCAGAGTTGAAGCTTCCTTTCGATAGAGCAGTTTTGTAACCCTATTTTTGTAGAATTTCCAAGTGGATATTTAGCGCCGTTTGAGGCCTATGGTGGAAAAGGCAATATCTTCATAGAAAAACTAGACAGAAATGATTCTCAGAAACTACTCAGTGATGTGTGCCTTCAACTCACAGAGTTTAACCTTCCTTTTGATAGAGCAGTTTTAAAAAACTCTTTTTGTAGAATCTGCAAGTGTATATTGGGACTTTTCTGAGGCCAACTTTGGAAACGGGATTTCTTCATATAAAACTTGAAAGAAGAATCCTCAGAAAATTATTTGTGATATGTGCATTTAACTCATGGAGCTGAAACTTCCTTTCGATAGAAGAGCTTTGAAAAACTCTTTTTGTAGAATTTCCAAGTGGATTTTTACAGCGGTTTGAGGTCTATGGCAGAAAAAGAAATATCTTCACAGAAAAACTAGGCAGATTCATTCTCCGAAGCTGTTTTGTGATGCTTGCATTAAGCTGACAGAGTTTAAACTTTTTTTGATAGAGCAGTTTGGAAACACTCTTTTTGTGGAATTTGCAAGTGTATATTTAGAGCGTTTTGAGGCCTACAATAGGAAAGGAAATATCTTCACATAAAAGCTAGACAGAAGTATTGTCAGAAACTTATTTGTGATATTTGCATTCAACGCACGGAGTTGAACATTCCTCTTGATGGAGCCGTTTTGAAGCACTCTTTTTGTGGAATCTGCAAGTGGATATTTGGACCTCTTTGTGGCCTTCCTGTGAAACGTGATTTCTTCATTTACAACTAGACAGAAGAATTCTCAGAAACCTCTTTGTGATGTGTACTTTCAACTCACAGAGTTGAAGCTTCCTTTCAATAGAGCACTTTTGAAACTCAGTTTCTGTAGAATTTCCAGGTGGATATTTAGCGCCGTTTGAGGCCTATGGTGGAAAAGGCAATATCTTCGTAGAAAAACTAGACAGAATGATTCTCAGAAACAACTTTGTGATGTGTGCGTTCAACTCACGGAGTTTAACCTTTCTTTTGATAGACCAGTTATGAAACACTCTTTTTGTAGAATCTGCAAGTAAATATTTGGACTTTTCTGAGGCCTTCATTGGAAACGGGATCTCTTCATATAAACCTTGACAGAAGAATTCCCAGAAACTTCTCTGTGATGTGTGCATTTAACTCTCAGAGTTCAACCTTCCTTTTGATAGAAGAGGGTTGAAATTTTCTTTTTGTAGAATTTCCAAGTGAATATTTAGAGCGCTTTCAGGCCTAAGTAGAAGAGAAAGTATCTTCACAGAAAAACTAGACATAATTGTTCTCTGAAGCTACTCTGTGATGTGCGCATTCAGCTGACAGAGTTTAACCTTTCTTTGGATAGAGCGGTTTTAAACACTCTTTTTGTGGAATTTGCAATTCTATATTTAGAGTGCTTTCAGGCCTGTCGTACAAAAGGGAATGTCTTCACATAAAATCTAGACAGAAGCGTTGTCGGAAACTACTTTGTGATACCTGCCCTCAACTCTCAGAGTTGAATATTCCTCTTGACGGAGCAGTTTTGAAAAACTCTTTTTGTGGAATCTCCAAGTGGATATTTGGACCTCTTTGTGGCCTTCGTTTGAGACGTGACTTCTTCATACAAAACTAGACAGAAGAATTCTCATAAACTTCTTCGTGATGTGTGCTTTCAACTCGCAGCGTTGAAGCTTCCTTTCGATAGAGCAGTTTAGTAACTCTCTTTTTGTAGAATTTCCAAGTGGATATTTAGCGCCGTTTGAGGCCTATGGTGGAAAAGGCAATATCTTCATAGAAAAACTAGACAGAATGATTCTCAGAAACTACTTTGTGATGTGTGCCTTCAACTCACAGAGTTTAACCTTCCTTTTGGTAGAGCAGTTTTGAAAAACGCTTTTTGTAGAATCTGCAAGTGTATATTGGGACTTTTCTGAGGCCATCTTTGGAAACGGGATTTCTTCATATAAAACTTGAAAGAATAATCCTCAGAAAATTATTTGTGATATGTGCATTTAACTCATGGAGTTGAAACTTCCTTTCGATAGAAGAGTTTTGAAATACTCTTTTTGTAGAATTTCCAAGTGGATTTTTACAGCGGTGTGAGGTCTATGGCAGAAAAAGAAATATCTTCACAGAAAAACTAGGCAGATTCATTCTCCGAAGCTGTTTTGTGATGCTTGCATTCAGCTGACAGAGTTTAAACTTCCTTTGATAGAGCAGTTTTGAAACACTCTTTTTGTGGAATTTGCAAGTTTCTCTTTAGAGCGTTTTGAGGCCTACAGTAGGAAAGGAAATATCTTCACCTAAAAACTAGACAGAAAGTATTGTCAGAAACTTATTTGTGATATTTGCATTCAACGCACAGAGTTGAACATTCCTCGTGATGGAGCAGTTTTGAAACACTCTTTTTGTAGAATCTGCAAGTGGATATTTGGACCTCTTTGTGGCCTTCGTTTGAAACGTGATTTCTTCATTTACAACTAGACAGAAGAATTCTCAGAAACTTCTTTGTGATGTGTACCTTCAACTCACAGAGGTGAAGCTTCCTTTCAATAGAGCACTTTTGAAACTCAGTTTTGGTAGAATTTCCAGGTGGATATTTTGCGCCGTTTGAGGCCTATGGTAGAAAAGGCAATATCTTCGTAGGAGAACTAGACACAATGATTCTCAGAAACTACTTTGAGATGTGTGGGTTCAACTCACTGAGTTTAACCTTTCTTTTGATAGACCAGTTACGAAACACTCTTCTTGTAGAATCTGCAAGTAAATATTTGGACTTTTTTGAGGCCTTCATTGGAAACGGGATATCTTCATAGAAACCTTGACAGAAGAATTCTCAGAAACTTCTCTGTGATGTGTGCGTTTAACTCTCAGAGTTCAACCTTCCTTTTGATAGAAGAGTGTTGAAATATTCTTTTTGTAGTATTTCCAAGTGAATATTTAGAGCGGTTTCAGGCCTATGTAGAAGAGAACCTATCTTCACAGAAAAACTAGACATAACTGTTCTCTGAAGCTGCTCTGTGATGTGCGCATTCAGCTGACAGAGTTTAACCTTTCTTTGGATAGAGCGGTTTTCAACACTCTTTTTGTGGAATTTGCAATTCTATATTTAGAGTGCTTTCAGGCCTGTGGTACAAAAGGAAATGTCTTCACTTAAAATCTAGACAGAAGCATTGTCGGGAACTACTTTGTGATACCTGCCTTCAACTCTCAGAGTTGAATATTCCTCTTGACGGAGCAGTTTTGAAAAACTCTTGTTGTTGAATCTCCAAGTGGATATTTGGACCTCCTTGTGGCCTTCGTTTGAAACGTGACTGCTTCATACAAAAGTAGACAGAAGAATTCTCATAAACTTCTTCGTGATGTGTGCTTTCAACTCGCAGCGTTGAAGCTTCCTTTCGATAGAGCAGTTTAGTAACTCTCTTTTTGTAGAATTTCCAAGTGGATATTTAGCGCCGTTTGAGGCCTATTGTGGAAAAGGCAATATCTTCATAGAAAAACGAGACAGAATGATTCTCAGAAACTACTTTGTGATGTGTGCCTTCAACTCACAGAGTTTAACCTTTCTTTTGATAGAGCAGTTTTGAAAAACTCTTTTTGTAGTATATGCAAGTGTATATTGGGACTTTTCTGAGGCCATCTTTGGAAACGGGATTTCTTCATATAAAACTTGAAAGAAGAATCCTCAGAAAATTATTTGTGGTATGTGCATTTAACTCATGGAGTTGAAACTTCCTTTCGATAGAAGAGTTTTGACATACTCTTTTCGTAGGATTTCCAAGTGGATTTTCACAGCGGTTTGAGGTCTATGGCAGAAAAAGAAATATCTTCACAGAAAAACTAGGCAGATTCATTCTCCGAAGCTGTTTTGTGATGCTTGCATTCAGCTGACAGAGTTTAAACTTCCTTTGATAGAGCATTTTTGAAACACTCTTTTTGTGGAATTTGCAAGTGTATATTTAGAGCGTTTTGAGGCCTACAGTAGGAAAGGAAATATCTTCACCTAAAAACTAGACAGAAGTATTGTCAGAAACTTATTTGTGATATTTGCATTCAACGCACAGAGTTGAACATTCCTCTTGATGGAGCAGTTTTGAAACCCTCTTTTTGCAGAATCTGCAGGTGGATATTTGGACCTCTTTGTGGCCTTCGTTTGAAACGTGATTTCTTCATTTACAACTAGACAGAAGAATTCTCAGAAACTTCTTTGTGATGTGTACCTTCAACTCACAGAGTTGAAGCTTCCTTTCAATAGAGCACTTTTGAAACTCAGTTTTTGTAGAATTTCCAGGTGGATATTTAGCGCCGTTTGGGGCCTATGGTAGAAAAGGCAATATCTTCGTAGGAAAACTAGACAGAATGATTCTCAGAAATAACTTTGTGATGTGTGCGTTCAACTCACGGAGTTTAACCTTTCTTTTGATAGACCAGGTATGAAACACTCTTTTTGTAGAATCTGCAAGTAAATATTTGGACTTTTTTGAGGCCTTCATTGGAAACGGGATTTCTTCATATAAACCTTGACAGAAGAATTCTCAGAAACTTCTCTGTGATGTGTGCGTTTAACTCTCAGAGTTCAACCTTCCTTTTGATAGAAGAGTGTTGAAATATTCTTTTTGCAGAATTTCCAAGTGAATATTTAGAGCCGTCTCAGGCCTATGTGGAAGAGAAACTATCTTCACGGAAAAACTAGACATAATTGTTCTCTGAAGCTACTTTGTGATGTGCTCATTCAGCTTACAGAGTTTAACCTTTCTTTGGATCGAGCGGTTTTAAACACTCTTTTTGTGGAATTTGCAATTCTATATTTAGAGTGCTTTCAGGCCTGTGGTACAAAAGGGAATGTCCTCACATAAAATCTAGACAGAAGCATTGTCGGAAACTACTTGGTGATACCTGTCTTCAACTCTCAGAGTTGAATATTCCTCTTGATGGAGCAGTTTTGAAAAACTCTTTTTGTTGAATCTCCAAGTGGGTATTTGGACCTCTTTGTGGCCTTCGTTTGAAACGTGACTGCTTCATACAAAAGTAGACACAAGAATTCTCATAAACTTCTTCGTGATGTGTGCTTTCAACTCGCAGCGTTGAAGCTTCCTTTCGATAGAGCACTTTTGTGACTCTCTTTTTGTAGAATTTCCAAGTGGATATTTGGCGCCGTTTGAGGCTTATGGTGGAAAAGGCAATATCTTCCTAGAAAAACTAGACAGAATGATTCTCAGAAACAACTCTGTGATGTGTGCCTTCAACTCACAGAGTTTAACCTTCCTTTTGATTGAGCAGTTTTGAAAAACTCTTTTTGTAGAATCTGCAAGTGTATATTGGGACTTTTCTGAGGCCAACTTTGGAAACGGGATTTCTTCATATAAAACTTGAAAGAAGAATCCTCAGAAAATTATTTGTGATATGTGCATTTAACTCATGGAATTGAAACTTCCTTTCGATAGAAGAGTTTTGACATCCTCTTTTTGTAGAATTTCCAAGTGGATTTTTACAGCGGTTTGAGGTCTATGGCAGAAAAAGAAATATCTTCACAGAAAAACAAGGCAGATTCATTCTCCGAAGCTGTTTTGTGATGCTTGCATTAGGCATACAGAGTTTAAACTTCCTTTGATAGAGCAGTTTTGAAACACTCTTTTTGTGGAATTTGCAAGTGTATATTTAGAGCGTTTTGAGGCCTACAGTAGGAAAGGAAATATCTTCACGTAAAAACTAGACAGAAGTATTGTCAGAAACTTATTTGTGATATTTGCATTCAACGCACAGAGTTGAACATTCCTCGTGATGGAGCAGTTTTGAAACACTCTTTTTGTAGAATCTGCAAGTGGATATTTGGACCTCTTTGTGGCCTTCGTTTGAAACGTGATTTCTTCATTTACAACTAGACAGAAGAATTCTCAGAAACTTCTTTGTGATGTGTACTTTCAACTCACAGAGTTGAAGCTTCCTTTCAATAGAGCACTTTTGAAACTCAGTTTCTGTAGAATTTCCAGGTGGATATTTAGCGCCGTTTGAGGCCTATGGTGGAAAAGGCAATATCTTCGTAGAAAAACTAGACAGAATGATTCTCAGAAGCTACTTTGTGATGTGTGGGTTCAACTCACTGAGTTTCACCTTTCTATTGATAGACCAGTTATGAAACACTCTTTTTGTGGAATCTGCAAGTAAATATTTGGACTTTTTTGAGGCCTTCATTGGAAACGGGGTTTCTTCATATAAACCTTGACAGAAGAATTCTCAGAAACTTCTCTGTGATGTGTGCGTTTAACTCTCAGAGTTCAACCTTCCTTTTGATAGAAGAGTGTTGAAATATTCTTTTTGTAGAATTTCCAAGTGAATATTTAGAGCAGTTTCAGGCCTATGTAGAAGAGAAACTATCTTCACAGAAAAACTAGACATAATTGTTCTCTGAAGCTACTTTGTGATGTGCGCATTCAGCTTACAGAGTTTAACCTTTCTTTGGATAGAGCGGTTTTAAACACTCTTTTTGTGGAATTTGCAATTCTATATTTAGAGTGCTTTCAGGCCTGTGGTACAAAAGGGAATGTCCTCACATAAAATCTAGACAGAAGCATTGTCGGGAACTACTTTGGGATACCTGCCTTCAACTCTCAGAGTTGAATATTCCTCTTGATGGAGCAGTTTTGAAAAACTCTTTTTGTTGAATCTCCAAGTGGATATTTGGACCTCTTTGTGGCCTTCGTTTGAAACGTGACTGCTTCATACAAAATTAGACAGAAGAATTCTCATAAACTTCTTCGTGATGTGTGCTTTCAACTCGCAGCGTTGAAGCTTCCTTTCGATAGAGCAGTTTTTTAACTCTCTTTATGTAGAATTTCCAAGTGGATATTTAACGCCGTTTGAGGCCAATGGTGGAAAAGGCAATATCTTCATAGAAAAACTAGACAGAATGATTCTCAGAAACTACTTTGTGATGTGTGCCTTCAACTCACAGAGTTTAACCTTTCTTTTGATAGAGCAGTTCTGAAAAACTCTTTTGGTAGAATCTGCAAGTGTATCTTGGGACTTTTCTGAGGCCATCTTTGGAAACGGGATTTCTTCATATAAAACTTGAAAGAAGAATCCTCAGAAAATTATTTGTGATATGTGCATTTAACTCGTGGAGTTGAAACTTCCTTTCGACAGAAGAGTTTTGAAATACTCTTTTTGTAGGATTTCCAAGTGGATTTTCAGAGCGGTTTGAGGTCTATGGCAGAAAAAGAAATATCTTCACAGAAAAACTAGGCAGATTCATTCTCCGAAGCTGTTTTGTGATGCTTGCATTAAGCTGACAGAGTTTAAACTTCCTTTGATAGAGCAGTTTGGAAACACTCTTTTTGTGGAATTTGCAAGTGTATATTTAGAGCGTTTTGAGGCCTACAGTAGGAAAGGAAATAACTTCACATAAAAACTAGACAGAAGTATTGTCAGAAACTTATTTGTGATATTTGCATTCAACGCACAGAGTTGAACATTCCTCTTGATGGAGCAGATTTGAAACCCTCTTTTTGCAGAATCTGCAGCTGGATATTTGGACCTCTTTGTGGCCTTCGTTTGAAACGTGATTTCTGCATTTACAACTAGACAGAAGACTTCTCAGAAACTTCTTTGTGATGTGTACCTTCAACTCACAGAGGTGAAGCTTCCTTTCAATAGAGCACTTTTGAAGCTCAGTTTTGGTAGAATTTCCAGGTGGATATTTAGCGCCGTTTGAGGCCTATGGTAGAAAAGGCAATATCTTCGTAGGAGAACTAGACAGAATGATTCTCAGACACTACTTTGTGATGTGTGGGTTCAACTCACTGAGTTTAACCTTTCTTTTGATAGACCAGTTATGAAACACTCTTTTTGTAGAATCTGCAAGTAAATATTTGGACTTTCTTGAGGCCTTCATTGGAAACGGGATTTCTTCATATAAGCCTTAACAGAAGAATTCTCAGAAACTTCTCTGTGATGTGTGCGTTTAACTCTCAGAGTTCAACCTTCCTTTTGATAGAAGAGTGTTGAAATATTGTTTTTGTAGAATTTCCAAGTGAATATTTAGAGCGGTTTCAGGCCTATGTAGAAGAGAATCTATCTTCACAGAAAAACTAGACATAACTGTTCTCTGAAGCTGCTCTGTGATGTGCGCATTCAGCTGACAGATATTAACCTTTCTTTGGATAGAGCGGTTTTCAACAATATTTTGTGGAATTTGCAATTCTATATATAGAGGGCTTTCAGGCATGTGGTACAAAAGGGAATGTCTTCACATAAAATCTAGACAGAAGCGTTGTCGGAAACTACTTTGTGATACCTGCCTTCAACTCTCAGAGTTGAATATTCCTCTTGACGGAGCAGTTTTGAAAAACGCTTTTTGTTGAATCTCCAAGTGGATATTTGGACCTCTTTGTGGCCTTCGTTTGAGACGTGACTTCTTCCTACAAAACTAGACAGAAGAATTCTCATAAACTTCTTCGTGATGTGTGCTTTCAACTCGCAGAGTTGAAGCTTCCTTTCGATAGAGCAGTCTTGTAACTCTCTTTTTGTAGAATTTCCAAGTGGATATTTAGCGCCGTTTGAGGCCTATGGTGGAGATGGCGATATCTTCATAGAAAAACTAGACAGAATGATCCTCAGAAACTACTGTGTGATGTGTGCCTTCAACTCACAGAGTTTGACCTTTCTTTTGATTTAGCAGTTTTGAAAAACTCTTTTTGTAGAATCTGAAAGTGTATATCTGGACTTTTCTGAGGCCATCTTTGGAAACGGGATTTCTTCATATAAAACTTGAAAGAAGAATCCTCAGAAAATTATTTGTGATATGTGCATTGAACTCATGGAGTTGAAACTTCCTTTCGATAGAAGAGTTTTGAAATACTCTTTTTGTAGAATTTCCAAGTGGATTTTTACAGCGGTTTGAGGTCTATGGCAGCAAAAGGAATATCTTCACAGAAAAACTAGGCAGATTCATTCTCCGAAGCTGTTTTGTGATGCTTGCATTAAGCGGACAGAGTTTAAACTTCCTTTGATAGAGCAGTTTGGAAACACTCTTTTTGTGGAATTTGCAAGTGTATCTTTAGAGCGTTTTGAGGCCTACAGTAGGAAAGGAAATATCTTCACATAAAAACTACACAGAAGTATTGTCAGAAACTTATTTGTGATATTTGCATTCAACGCACAGAGTTGAACATTCCTCTTGATGGAGCCGTTTTGAGACACTCTTTTTGTAGAATCTGCAAGTGGATATTTGGACCACTTTGTGGCCTTCGTGTGAAACGTGATTTCTTCATTGACAACTAGACAGAAGAATTCTCAGAAACTTCTTTGTGATGTGTACCTTCAACTCACAGAGTTGAAGCTTCCTTTCAATAGAGCACTTTTGAAACTCAGTTTTTGTAGAATTTCCAGGTGGATATTTAGCGCCGTTTGAGGCCTAAGGTAGAAAAGGCAATATCTTCGTAGGAAAACTAGACAGAATGATTCTCAGAAGCTACTTTGGGATGCGTGGGTTCAACTCACTGAGTTTAACCTTTCTTTTGATAGACCAGTTATGAAACACTCTTTCTGTGGAATCGGCAAGTAAATATTTCGACTTTTTTGAGGCCTTCATTGGAAACGGGGTTTCTTCATATAAACCTTGACAGAAGAATTCTCAGAAACTTCTCTGTGATGTGTGCATTTAACTCTCAGAGTTCAACCTTCCTTTTGATAGAAGAGTGTTGAAATATTCTTTTTGCAGAATTTCCAAGTGAATATTTAGAGCGGTCTCAGGCCTATGTGGAAGAGAAACTATCTTCACGGAAAAACTAGACATAATTGTTCTCTGAAGCTACTTTGTGATGTGCGCCTTCAGCGGACAGAGTTTAACCTTTCTTTGGATAGAGCGGTTTTAAGCACTCTTTCTGTGGAATTTGCAATTCTATATTTAGAGTGCTTTCAGGCCTGTGGTACAAAAGGGAATGTCTTCACATAAAATCTAGACAGAAGCATTGTCGGGAACTACTTTGGGATACCTGCCTTCAACTCTCAGTGTTGAATATTCCTCTTGATGGAGCAGTATTGAAAAACTCTTTTTTTGAATCTCCAAGTGGATATTTGGACCTCTTTGTGGCCTTCGTTTGAAACGTGACTGCTTCATACAAAAGTAGACAGAAGAATTCTCATAAACTTCTTCGTGATGTGTGCTTTCCACTCGCAGAGTTGAAGCTTCCTTTCGATAGAGCAGTCTAGTAACTCTCTTATTGTAGAATTTCCAAGTGGATATTTAGCGCCGTTTGAGGACTATGGTGGAGAAGGCGATATCTTCCTAGAAAAACTAGACAGAATGATTCTCAGAAACTACTCTGTGATGTGTGCCTTCAACTCACAGAGTTTAACCTTCCTTTTGATAGAGCAGTTTTGAAAAACTCTTTTTGTAGAATCTGCAAGTGTATATTGGGACTTTTCTGAGGCCATCTTTGGAAACGGGATTTCTTCATATAAATCTTGAAAGAAGAATCCTCAGAAAATTATTTGTGATATGTGCATTTAACTCATGGAGTTGAAACTTCCTTTCGATAGAAGAGTTTTGAAATACTCTTTTTGTAGAATTCCCAAGTGGATTTTTACAGCGGTTTGAGGTCTATGGCTGCAAAAGGAATATCTTCACAGAAAAACTAGGCAGATCCATTCTCCGAAGCTGTTTTGTGACGCTTGCATTCAGCTGACAGAGTTTAAACTTCCTTTGATAGAGCAGTTTTGAAACACTCTTTTTGTGGAATTTGCAAGTGTATATTTAGAGCGTTTTGAGGCCTGCAGTAGGAAAGGAAATATCTTCACCTAAAAACTAGACAGAAGTATTGTCAGAAACTTATTTGTGATATTTGCATTCAACGCACGGAGTTGAACATTCCTCTTGATGGAGCCGTTTTGAGCACTCTTTTTGTGGAATCTGCAAGTGGATATTTGGACCTCTTTGTGGCCATCGTGTGAAACGTGATTTCTTCATTTACAACTAGACAGAAGAATTCTCAGAAACTTCTTTGTGATGTGTACTTTCAACTCACAGAGTTGAAGCTTCCTTTCAATAGAGCACTTTTGAAACTCAGTTTCTGTAGAATTTCCAGGTGGATATTTAGCGCCGTTTGAGGCCTATGGTGGAAAAGGCAATATCTTCGTAGAAAAACTAGACAGAATGATTCTCAGAAGCTACTTTGTGATGTGTGGGTTCAACTCACTGAGTTTAACCTTTGTTTTGATAGGCCAGTTATGAAACACTCTTTTTGTGGAATCTGCAAGTAAATATTTGGACTTTTTTGAGGCCTTCATTGGAAACGGGGTTTCCTCGTATAAACCTTGACAGAAGAATTCTCAGAAACTAATCTGTGATGTGTGCGTTTACCACTCAGAGTTCCACCTTCCTTTTGATAGAAGAGTGTTGAAATATTCTTTTTGCAGAATTTCCAAAGGAATATTTAGAGCGGCCTCAGGCCTATGTAGAAGAGAATCTATCTTCACGGAAAAACTAGGCATAATTGTTCTCTGAAGCTGCTCTGTGATGTGCGCATTCAGCTGACAGAGTTTAACCTTTCTTTGGATAGAGCGGTTTTAAACACTCTTTTTGTGGAATTTGCAATTCTATACTTAGAGTGCTTTCAGACCTGTGGTACAAAAGGGAATGTCTTCACATAAAATCTAGACAGAAGCATTGTCGGAAACTACTTTGTGATACCTGCCTTCAACTCTCAGAGTTGAACATTCCTCTTGATGGAGCAGTTTTGAAAAACTCTTTTTGTTGAATCTCCAAGTGGATATTTGGACCTCTTTGTGGCCTTCGTTTGAGACGTGACTTCTTCATACAAAAGTAGACAGAAGAATTCTCATAAACTTCTTCGTGATGTGTGCTTTCCACTAGCAGAGTTGAAGCTTCCTTTCGATAGAGCAGTCTTGTAACTCTCTTTTTGTAGAATTTCCAAGTGGATATTTAGCGCCGTTTGAGGCCTATGGTGGAGAAGGCGATATCTTCATAGAAAAACTAGACAGAATGAGTCTCAGAAACTACTGTGTGATGTGTGCCTTCAACTCACCGAGTTTAACCTTTCTTTTGATAGAGCAGTTTTGAAAAACTCTTTTTGTAGAATCTGCAAGTGTATATTGGGACTTTTCTGAGGCCATCTTTGGAAACGGGATTTCTTCATATAAAACTTGAAAGAAGAATCCTCAGAAAATTATTTGTGATATGTGCATTTAACTCATGGAGTTGAAACTTCCTTTCGATAGAAGAGTTTTGAAATACTCTTTTTGTGGAATTTCCAAGTGGATTTTTACAGCGGTTTGAGGTCTATGGCAGAAAAAGGAATATCTTCACAGAAAAACTAGGCAGATTCATTCTCCGAAGCTGTTTTGTGATGCTTCCATTAAGCTGACAGAGTTTAAACTTCCTTTGATAGAGCAGTTTGGAAACACTGTTTTTGTGGAATTTGCAATTCTATATTTAGAGTGCTTTCAGGCCTGTGGTACAAAAGGGAATGCCTTCACATAAAATCTAGACAGAAGCATTGTCGGGAAGTACTTTGTGATACCTGCCTTCAAATCTCAGAGTTGAATATTCCTCTTGATGGAGCAGTTTTGAAAAACTCTTTTTGTTGAATCTCCAAGTGGATATTTGGACCTCTTTCTGGCCTTCGTTTGAAACGTGACTGCTTCATACAAAAGTAGACAGAAGAATTCTCAGAAACTTCTTTGTGATGTGTACCTTCAACCCACAGAGGTGAAGCTTCCTTTCAATAGAGCACTTTTGAAACTCAGTTTTGGTAGAATTTCCAGGTGGATATTTAGCGCCGTTTGAGGCCTATGGTAGAAAAGGCAATATCTTCGTAGGAGAACTAGACAGAATGATTCTCAGAAGCTACTTTGTGATGTGTGGGTTCAACTCACTGAGTTTAACCTTTCTTTTGATAGACCAGTTATGAAACCCTCTTTCTGTGGAATCGGCAAGTAAATATTTGGACTTTTTTGAGGCCTTCATTGGAAACGGGCTTTCTTCATATAAACCTTGACAGAAGAATTCTCAGAAACTTCTCTGTGATGTGTGCGTTTAACTCTCAGAGTTCAACCTTCCTTTTGATAGAAGAGTGTTGAAATATTCTTTTTGTAGAATTTCCAAGTGAATATTTAGAGCGGTTTCAGGCCTATGTAGAAGAGAAAATATCTCCACAGAAAAACTAGACACAATTGTTCTCTGAAGCTGCTCTGTGATGTGCGCATTCAGCTGACAGAGTTTAACCTTTCTTTGGATAGAGCGGTTTTCAACACTCTTTTTGTGGAATTTGCAATTCTATATTTAGAGTGCTTTCAGGCCTGTGGTACAAAAGGGAATGTCTTCACATAAAATCTAGACAGAAGCGTTGTCGGAAACTTGTTTGTGATACCTGCCCTCAACTCTCAGAGTTGAATATTAATCTTGACGGAGCAGTTTTGAAAAACTCTTTTTGTTGAATCTCCAAGTGGATATTTGGACCTCTTTGTGGCCTTCGTTTGAGACGTGACTTCTTCATACAAAACTAGACAGAAGAATTCTCATAAACTTCTTGGTGATGTGTGCTTTCAACTCGCAGCGTTGAAGCTTCCTTTCGATAGAGCAGTTTAGTAACTCTCTTTTTGTAGAATTTCCAAGTGGATATTTAGCGCCGTTTGAGGCCTATGGTGGAAAAGGCAATATCTTCATAGAAAAACTAGACAGAATGATTCTCAGAAACTACTTTGTGATGTGTGCCTTCAACTCACAGAGTTTAACCTTTCTTTTGATAGAGCAGTTTTGAAAAACTCTTTTTGTAGAATCTGCAAGTGTATATTGGGACTTATCTGAGGCCATCTTTGGAAACGGGATTTCTTCATATAAAACTTCAAAGAAGAATCCTCAGAAAATTATTTGTGATCTGTGCCTTTAACTCATGGAGTTGAAACTTCCTTTCGACAGAAGAGTTTTGAAATACTCTTTTTGTAGAATTTCCAAGTGGATTTTCACAGCGGTTTGACGTCTATGGCAGCAAAAGAAATATCTTCACAGAAAAACTAGGCAGATTCATTCTCCGAAGCTGTTTTGTGATGCTTGCATTCAGCTGACAAAGTGTAAACTTCCTTTGATAGAGCAGTTTTGAAACCCTCTTTTTGTGGAATTTGCAAGTGTCTCTTTAGAGCGTTTTGAGGCCTACAGTAGGAAAGGAAATATCTTCACATAAAAACTAGACAGAAGTATTGTCAGAAACTTACTTGTGATATTTGCCTTCAATGCACAGAGTTGAACACTCCTCTTGATGGAGCAGTTTTGAATCACTCTTTTTGTAGAATCTGCAGGTGGATATTTGGACCTCTTTGTGGCCTTCGTTTGAAACGTGATTTCTTCATTTACAACTAGACAGAAGAATTCTCAGAAACTTCTTTGTGATGTGTACCTTCAACTCACAGAGTTGAAGCTTCCTTTCAATAGAGTACCTTAGAAACTCAGTTTTTGTAGAATTTCCAGGTGGATATTTAGCGCCGTTTGAGGCCTATGGTAGAAAAGGCAATATCTTCGTAGGAGGACTAGACAGAATGATTCTCAGAAACAACTTTGTGATGTGTGCGTTCAACTCACGGAGTTTAACCTTTCTTTTGATAGACCAGTTATGAAACACACTTTTTGTGGAATCTGCAAGTAAATATTTGGACTTTTCTGAGGCCTTCATTGGAAACGGGATCTCTTCATATAAACCTTGACAGAAGAATTCTCAGAAACTTCTCTGTGATGTGTGCGTTTAACTCTCAGAGTTCAACCTTCCTTTGGATAGAAGAGTGTTGAAATATTCTTTTTGTAGAATTACCAAGTGAATATTTAGAGTGGTTTCAGGCCTATGTAGAAGAGAAACTATCTTCACAGAAAAACTAGACATAATTGTTCTCTGAAGCTGCTCTGTGATGTGCGCATTCAGCTGACAGACTTTAACCTTTCTTTCGATCGAGCGGTTTTAAACACTCTTTTTGTGGAATTTGCAATTCTATATTTAGAGTGCTTTCAGGCCTGTGGTACAAAAGGGAATGTCTTCACATAAAATCTAGACAGAAGCATTGTCGGAAACCACTTTGTGATACCTGCCTTCAACTCTCAGAGTTGAATATTCCTCTTGATGGAGCAGTTTTGAAAAAGTCTTTTTGTTGAATCTACAAGTGGATATTTGGACCTCTTTGTGGCCTTCGTTTGAAACGTGACTTCTTCATAGAAAACTAGACAGAAGAATTCTCATAAACTTCTTCGTGATGTGTGCTTTCAAGTCGCAGCGTTGAAGCTTCCTTTCGATAGAGCAGTTTAGTAACTCTCTTTTTGTAGAATTTCCAAGTGGATATTTAGCGCCGTTTGAGGAATATGGTGGAAAAGGCAATATCTTCATAGAAAAACTAGTCAGAATGATTCTCAGAAACTACTTTGTGATGTGTGCCTTCAACTCACAGAGTTTAACCTTCCTTTTCATAGAGCAGTTTTGAAAAACTCTTTTTGTAGAATCTGCAAGTGTATATTGGGACTTTTCTGAGGCCATCTTTGGAAACGGGATTTCTTCATATAAAACTTGAAAGAAGAATCCTCAGAAAATTATTTGAGATATGTGCATTTAACCCATGGAGTTGAAACTTCCTTTCGATAGAAGCGTTTTGAAATACTCTTTTTGTAGAATTTCCAAGTGGATTTTTACAGCGGTTTGAGGTCTATGGCGGAAAAAGAAATATCTTCACAGAAAAACTAGGCAGATTCATTCTCTGAAGCTGTTTTGTGATGCTTGCATTAAGCTGACAGAGTTTAAACTTCCTTTGATAGAGCAGTTTGGAAACACTCTTTTTGTGGAATTTGCAAGTGTATATTTAGAGCGTTTTGAGGCCTACAGTATGAAAGGAAATATCTTCACATAAAAACTAGACAGAAGTATTGTCAGAAACTTATTTGTGATATTTGCATTCAACGCACAGAGTTGAACATTCCTCTTGATGGAGCAGATTTGAAACCCTCTTTTTGCAGAATCTGCAGCAGGATATTTGGACCTCTTTGTGGCCTTCGTTTGAAACTTGATTTCTGCTTTTACAACTAGACAGAAGAATTCTCAGAAACTTCTTTGTGATGTGTACCTTCAACTGACAGAGGTGAAGCTTCCTTTCAATAGAGCACTTTTGAAACTCAGTTTTGGTAGAATTTCCAGGTGGATATTTAGCGCCGTTTGAGGCCTATGGTAGAAAAGGCAATATCTTCGTAGGAGAACTAGACAGAATGATTCTCAGAAACAACTTTGTGATGTGTGCGTTCAACTCACGGAGTTTAACCTTTCTTTTGATAGACCAGTTATGAAACACTCTTTTTGTAGAATCTGCAAGTAAATATTTGGACTTTTTTGAGGCCTTCATTGGAAACGGGATCTCCTCATATAAACCTTGACAGAAGAATCCCCAGAAACTTCTTTGTGATGTGTGCATTTAACTCTCAGAGTTCAACCTTCCTTTTGATAGAAGAGTGTTGAAATATTCTTTTTGTAGAATTTCCAAGTGAATATTTAGAGCGGTTTCAAGCCTATGTAGAAGAGAAAATATCTTCACAGAGAAACTAGACATAATTGTTCTCTGAAGCTGCTCTGTGATGTGCGCATTCAGCTGACAGAGTTTAACCTTTCTTTGGATAGAGCGGTTTTAAACACTCTTTTTTTTGGAATTTGCAATTCTATACTTTGAGTGCTTTCAGGCCTGTGGTACAAAAGGGAATGTCTTCACATAAAATCTAGACAGAAGCATTGTCGGAAACTACTTTGTGATACCTGCCTTCAACTCTCAGAGTTGAATATTCCTCTTGATGGAGCAGTTTTGAAAAACTCTTTTTGTTGAATCTCCAAGTGGATATTTGGACCTCTTTGTGGCCTTCGTTTGAAATGTGACTGCTTCATACAAAAGTAGACAGAAGAATTCTCATAAACTTCTTCGTGATGTGTGCTTTCAACTCGCAGCGTTGAAGCTTCCTTTCGATAGAGCAGTTCTGTAACTCTCTTTTTGTAGAATTTCCAAGTGGATATTTAGCGCCGTTTGAGGCCAATGGTGGAAAAGGCAATATCTTCATAGAAAAACTAGACAGAATGATTCTCAGAAACTACTCTGTGATGTGTGCCTTCAACTCACAGAGTTTAACCTTCCTTTTGATAGAGCAGTTTTGAAAAACTCTTTTTGTAGAATCTGCAAGTGTATATTGGGACTTTTCTGAGGCCATCTTTGGAAACGGGATTTCTTCATATAAAACTTGAAAGAAGAATCCTCAGAAAATTATTTGTGATATGTGCATTTAACTGATGGAGCTGAAACTTCCTTTCGATAGAAGAGCTTTGAAATACTCTTTTTGTAGAATTTCCAAGTGGATTTTTACAGCGGTTTGAGGTCTATGGCAGAAAAAGAAATATCTTCACAGAAAAATTAGGCAGATTCATTCTCCGAAGCTGTTTTGTGATGCGTGCATTAAGCTGACAGAGTTTAAACTTCCTTTGATAGAGCAGTTTGGAAACACTCTTTTTGTGGAATTTGAAAGTGTATATTTAGAGCGTTTTGAGGCCTACAGTAGGAAAGGAAATATCTTCACATAAAAACTAGACAGAAGTATTGTCAGAAACTTATTTGTGATATTTGCATTCAACGCACGGAGTTGAACATTCCTCTTGATGGAGCCGTTTTGAAGCACTCTTTTTGTGGAATCTGCAAGTGGATATTTGGACCTCTTTGTGGCCTTCGTGGGAAACGTGATTTCTTCATTTACAACTAGACAGAAGAATTCTCAGAAACTTCTCTGTGATGTGTACTTTCAACTCACAGAGTTGAAGCTTCCTTTCAATAGAGCACTTTTGAAACTCAGTTTCTGTAGAATTTCCAGGTGGATATTTAGCGCCGTTTGAGGCCTATGGTGGAAAAGGCAATATCTTCGTAGAAAAACTAGACAGAATGATTCTCAGAAGCTACTTTGTGATGTGTGGGTTCAACTCACTGAGTTTAACCTTTCTTTTGATAGACCAGTTATGAAACACTCTTTCTGTGGAATCGGCAAGTAAATATTTGGACTTTTTTGAGGCCTTCATTGGAAACGGGGTTTCTTCATATAAACCTTGACAGAAGAATTCTCAGAAACTTCTCTGTGATGTGTGCGTTTAACTCTCAGAGTGCAACCTTCCTTTTGAGAGAAGACTGTTGAAATATTCTTTTTGTAGAATTTCCAAGTGAATATTTGGAACGGTTTCAGGCCTATGTAGAAGATAAAATATCTTCAAAGAAAAACTAGACATAATTGTTCTCTGAAGCTACTCTGTGATGTGCGCATTCAGCTGACAGAGTTTAACCTTTCTTTGGATAGAGCGGTTTTAAACCCTCTTTTTGGGGAATTTGCAATTCTATATTTATAGTGCTTTCAGGCCTGTCGTACAAAAGGGAATGTCTTCACATAAAATGTAGACCGAAGCATTGTCGGGAACTACTTTGTGATACCTGCCTTCAACTCTCAGAGTTGAATATTCCTCTTGATGGAGCAGTTTTGAAAAACTCCTTTTGTTGAATCTCCAAGTGGATATTTGGACCTCTTTGTGGCCTTCGTTTGAAACGTGACTGCTTCATACAAAAGTAGACAGAAGAATTCTCATCACCTTCCTCGCGATGTGTGCTTTCAACTCGCGGAGCTGAAGCTTCCTTTCGATAGAGCAGTTTTGTAACTCTCTTTTTGTAGAATTTCCGAGTGGATATTTAGCGCCGTTTGAGGCCTATGGTGGAAAAGGCAATATCTTCATAGAAAAACTAGACAGAATGATTCTCAGAAACTACTTTGTGATGTGTGCCTTCAACTCACAGAGTTTAACCTTTCTTTTGATAGAGCAGTTTTGAAAAACTCTTTTTGTAGAATCTGCAAGTGTATCTTGGGACTTTTCTGAGGCCATCTTTGGAAACGGGATTTCTTCATATAAAATTTGAAAGAAGAATCCTCAGAAAATTATTTGTGATATGTGCATTTAACTCATGGAGTTGAAACTTCCTTTCGATAGAAGAGTTTTGAAATACTCTTTTTGTAGAATTCCCAAGTGGATTTTTACAGCGGTTTGAGGTCTATGGCAGCAAAAGAAATATCTTCACAGAAAAACTAGGCAGATTCTTTCTCTGAAGCTGTTTTGTGATACTTGCATTAAGCGGACAGAGTTTAAACTTCCTTTGATAGAGCAGTTTGGAAACACTCTTTTTGTGTAATTTGTAAGTGTATATTTAGAGAGTTTTGAGGCCTACAGTAGGAAAGGAAATATCTTCACATAAAAACTACACAGAAGTATTCTCAGAAACTTACTTGTGATATTTGCATTCAACGCACAGAGTTGAACATTCCTCTTGATGGAGCAGTTATGAAACACTCTTTTTGTAGAATCTGCAGGTGGATATTTGGACCTCTTTGTGGCCTTCTTTTGAAACGTGATTTCTTCATTTACAACTAGACAGAAGAATTCTCAGAAACTTCTTTGTGATGTGTACCTTCAACTCACAG
The DNA here is from genome assembly GCF_000001405.40 of Homo sapiens. Classification (NCBI taxonomy): domain Eukaryota; kingdom Metazoa; phylum Chordata; class Mammalia; order Primates; family Hominidae; genus Homo; species Homo sapiens. The sequence goes on from NC_000003.12 coordinate 91,120,979, forward strand.
AGTTGAAGCTTCCTTTCAATAGAGCACTTTTGAAACTCAGTTTTTGTAGAATTTCCAGGTGGATATTTAGCGCCGTTTGAGGCCTATGGTAGAAAAGGCAATATCTTCGTAGGAAAACTAGACAGAAGGATTCTCAGAAGCTACTTTGTGATGTGTGGGTTGAACTCACTGAGTTTAACCTTTCTTTTGATAGACCAGTTACGAAACACTCTTTCTGTGGAATCGGCAAGTAAATATTTGGACTTTTTTGAGGCCTTCATTGGAAACGGGGTTTCTTCATATAAACCTTGACAGAAGAATTCTCAGAAACTTCTCTGTGATGTGTGCATTTAACTCTCAGAGTTCAACCTACCTTTTGATAGAAGAGTGTTGAAATATTCTTTTTGTAGAATTTCCAAGTGAATATTTAGTGCGGTTTCAGGCCTATGTAGAAGAGAAACTATCTTCACAGAAAAACTAGACATAATTGTTCTCTGAAGCCACTCTGTGATGTGCGCATTCAGCTGACAGAGTTTAAGCTTTCTTTGGATAGATCGGATTTAAACACTCTTTTTGTGGAATTTGCAATTCTATATTTAGAGTGCTTTCAGGCCTGTGGTACGAAAGGGAATGTCTTCACATAAAATCTAGACAGAAGCATTGTCGGGAACTACTTTGAGATACTTGCCTTCAACTCTCAGAGTTGAATATTCCTCTTGATGGAGCAGTTTTGAAAAACTCTTTTTGTTGAATCTCCAAGTGGATATTTGGACCTCTTTGTGGCCTTCGTTTGAAACGTGACTGCTTCATACAAAAGTAGACAGAAGAATTCTCATAAACTTCTTCGTGATGTGTGCTTTCAACTCGCAGCGTTGAAGCTTCCTTTCGATAGAGCACTTCTGTAACTCTCTTTTTGTAGAATTTCCAAGTGGATATTTAGCGCCGTTTAAGGCCAATGGTGGAAAAGGCAATATCTTCATAGAAAAACTAGACAGAATGATTCTCAGAAACTACTTTGTGATGTGTGCCTTCAACTCACAGAGTTTAACCTTTCTGTTGATAGAGCAGTTTTGAAAAACTCTTTCTGTAGAATCTGCAAGTGTATATTGGGACTTTTCTGAGGCCATGTTTGGAAACGGGATTTCTTCATATAAAACTTGAAAGAAGAATCCTCAGAAAATTATTTGTGATATGTGCATTTAACTCATGGAGCTGAAACTTCCTTTCGATAGAAGAGCTTTGAAATACCCTTTTTGTAGAATTTCCAAGTGGATTTTTACAGCGGTTTGAGGTCTATGGCAGAAAAAGAAATATCTTCACAGAAAAACTAGGCAGATTCATTCTCCGAAGCTGTTTTGTGATGCTTGCATTCAGCTTACAGAGTTTAAACTTACTTTGATAGAGCAGTTTTGAAACCCTCTTTTTGTGGAATTTGCAAGTGTCTCTTTAGAGCGTTTTGAGGCCTACAGTAGGAAAGGAAATATCTTCACATAAAAACTAAGCGGGAAGTATTGTCAGAAACTTATTTGTGATATTTGCATTCAACGCACAGAATTGAACATTCATCTTGATGGAGCCGTTTTGAGACACTCTTTTTGTAGAATCTGCAAGTGGATATTTGGACCTCTTTGTGGCCTTCGTGTGAAACGTGATTTCTTCATTTACAACTAGACAGAAGAATTCTCAGAAGCTTCTTTGTGATGTGTACCTTCAACTCACAGAGTTGAAGCTTCCTTTCAATAGAGCACTTTTGAAACTCAGTTTTTGTAGAATTTCCAGGTGGATATTTAGCGCCGTTTGAGGCCTATGGTAGAAAAGGCAATATCTTCGTAGGAAAACTAGACAGAAATGATTCTCAGAAACTACTTTGTGATGTGTGGGTTCAACTCACTGAGTTTAACCTTTCTTTTGATAGACCAGTTATGAAACACTCTTTTTGTAGAATCTGCAAGTAAATATTTGGACTTTTTTGAGGCCTTCATTGGAAACGGGATTTCTTCATAGAAACCTTGACAGAAGAATTCTCAGAAACTTCTCTGTGATGTGTGCGTTTAACTCTCAGAGTTCAACCTTCCTTTTGATAGAAGAGTGTTGAAATATTCTTTTTGCAGAATTTCCAAGTGAATATTTAGAGCGGTCTCAGGGCTACGTAGAAGAGAAACTATCTTCACGGAAAAACTAGACATAATTGTTCTCTGAAGCTACTCTGTGATGTGCGCATTCAGCTGACAGAGTTTAACCTTTCTTTGGATAGAGCGGTTTTCAACACACTTTTTGTGGAATTTGCAATTCTATATTTAGAGTGCTTTCAGGCCTGTGGTACAAAAGGGAATGTCTTCACATAAAATCTAGACAGAAGCATTGTCGGGAAGTACTTTGGGATACCTGCCTTCAACTCTCATAGTTGAATATTCCTCTTGACGGAGCAGTTTTGAAAAACTCTTTTTGTTGAATCTCCAAGTGGATATTTGGACCTCTTTGTGGCCTTCGTTTGAAACGTGACTGCTTCATACAAAAGTAGACAGAAGAATTCCCATAAACTTCTTTGTGATGTGTGCTTTCAACTCGCAGAGTTGAAGCTTCCTTTCGATAGAGCAGCCTTGTAACTCTCTTATTGAAGAATTTCCAAGTGGATATTTAGCGCCGTTTGAGGCCTATGGTGGAAAAGGCAATATCTTCATAGAAAAACTAGACAGAATGATTCTCAGAAACTACTCTGTGATGTGTGCCTTCAACTCACAGAGTTTAACCTTCCTTTTGATAGAGCAGTTTTGAAAAACTCTTTTTGTAGAATCTGCAAGTGTATATTGGGACTTTTCTGAGGCCATCTTTGGAAACGGGATTTCTTCATATAAAACTTGAAAGAAGAATCCTCAGAAAATTATTTGTGATATGTGTATTTAACTCATGGAGCTGAAACTTCCTTTCGATAGAAGAGCTTTGAAATACTCTTTTTGTAGAATTTCCAAGTGGATTTTTACAGCGGTTTGAGGTCTATGGCAGAAAAAGAAATATCTTCACAGAAAAACTAGGCAGATTCATTCTCCGAAGCTGTTTTGTGATGCTTGCATTCAGCTGACAGAGTTTAAACTTCCTTTGATAGAGCAGTTTTGAAACACTCTTTTTGTGGAATTTGCAAGTGTATATTTAGAGCGTTTTGAGGCCTACAGTAGGAAAGGAAATATCTTCACCTAAAAACTAGACAGAAGTATTGTCAGAAACTTATTTGCGATATTTGCATTCAAAGCACAGAGTTGAACATTCCTCTTGATGGAGCCGTTTTGAAACACTCTTTTTGTAGAATCTGCAAGTGGATATTTGGACCTCTTTGTGGCCTTCGTTTGAAACGTGATTTCTTCATTTACAACTAGACAGAAGAATTCTCAGAAACTTCTTTGTGATGTGTACCTTCAACTGACAGAGGTGAAGCTTCCTTTCAATAGAGCACTTTTGAAACTCAGTTTTGGTAGAATTTCCAGGTGGATATTTTGCGCCGTTTGAGGCCTATGGTAGAAAAGGCAATATCTTCGTAGGAGAACTAGACAGAATGATTCTCAGAAGCTACTTTGTGATGTGTGGGTTCAACTCACTGAGTTTAACCTTTCTTTTGATAGACCAGTTATGAAACACTCTTTCTGTGGAATCGGCAAGTAAATATTTGGACTTTTTTGAGGCCTTCATTGGAAACGGGGTTTCTTCATATAAACCTTGACATAAGAATTCTCAGAAACTCCTCTGTGATGTGTGCGTTTAACTCTCAGAGTTCAACCTTCCTTTTGATAGAAGAGTGTTGAAATATTCTTTTTGTAGAATTACCAAGTGAATATTTAGAGCGGTTTCAGGCCTATGTAGAAGAGAAACTATCTTCACAGAAAAACTAGACATAATTGTTCTCTGAAGCTGCTCTGTGATGTGCGCATTCAGCTGACAGAGTTTAACCTTTCTTTGGATAGAGCGGTTTTCAACACTCTTTTTGTGGAATTTGCAATTCTATATTTAGAGTGCTTTCAGGCCTGTGGTACAAAAGGGAATGTCTTCATATAAAATCTAGACAGAAGCATTGTCGGGAACTACTTTGTGATACCAGCCTCCAACTCGCAGAGTTGAATATTCCTCTTGACGGAGCAGTTTTGAAAAACTCTTTTTGTTGAATCTCCAAGTGGATATTTGGACCTCGTTCTGGCCTTCGTTTGAAACGTGACTGCTTCATACAAAAGTAGACAGAAGAATTCTCATAAACTTCTTCGTGATGTGTGCTTTCAACTCGCAGCGTTGAAGCTTCCTTTCGATAGAGCCGTTTAGTAACTCTCTTTTTGTAGAATTTCCAAGTGGATATTTAGCGCCGTCTGAGGCCTATGGTGGAAAAGGCAATATCTTCATAGAAAAACTAGACAGAATGATTCTCAGAAACTACTTTGTGATGTGTGCCTTCAACTCACAGAGTTTAACCTTCCTTTTGGTAGAGCAGTTTTGAAAAACTCTTTTTGTAGAATCTGCAAGTGTATATTGGGACTTTTCTGAGGCCATCTTTGGAAACGGGATTTCTTCATATAAAACTTGAAAGAAGAATCCTCAGACAATTATTTGTGATATGTGCATTTAACTCATGGAGTTGAGACTTCCTTTCGATAGAAGAATTTTGAAATACTCTTTTTGTAGAATTTCCAAGTGGATTTTTACCGCGGTTTGAGGTCTATGGCAGAAAAAGAAATATCTTCCCAGAAAAACTAGGCAGATTCATTCTCCGAAGCTGTTTGTGATGCTTGCATTCAGCTTACAGAGTTTAAACTTCCTTTGATAGAGCAGTTTTGAAACCCTCTTTTTGTGGAATTTGCAAGTGTCTCTTTAGAGCGTTTTGAGGCCTACAGTAGGAAAGGAAATATCTTCACATAAAAACTAGACAGAAGTATTGTCAGAAATTTATTTGTGATATTTGCATTCAACGCACGGAGTTGAACATTCCTCTTGATGAAGCCGTTTTGAAGCACTCTTTTTGTGGAATCTGCAAGTGGATATTTGGACCTCTTTGTGGCCTTCGTGGGAAACGTGATTTCTTCATTTACAACTAGACAGAAGAATTCTCAGAAACTTCTTTGTGATGTGTACCTTCAACTCACAGAGGTGAAGCTTCCTTTCAATAGAGCACTTTTGAAGCTCAGTTTTGGTAGAATTTCCAGGTGGATATTTAGCGCCGTTTGAGGCCTATGGTAGAAAAGGCAATATCTTCGTAGGAGAACTAGACACAAATGATTCTCAGAAACAACTTTGTGATGTGTGCGTTCAACTCACGGTGTTTAACCTTTCTTTTGATAGACCAGTTATGAAACACTCTTTTTGTAGAATCTGCAAGTAAATATTTGGACTTTTTTGAGGCCTTCATTGGAAACGGGATTTCTTCATATAAACCTTGACAGAAGAATTCTCAGAAACTTCTCTGTGATGTGTGCGTTTAACTCTCAGAGTTCAACCTTCCTTTGGATAGAAGAGTGTTGAAATATTCTTTTTGTAGAATTTCCAAGTGAATATTTAGAGCGGTTTCAGGCCTATGTAGAAGAGAAACTATCTTCACAGAAAAACTAGACATAAGTGTTCTCTGAAGCTACTTTGTGATGTGCGCCTTCAGCTGACAGAGTTGAACCTTTCTTTGGATAGAGCGGTTTTAAACACTCTTTTTGTGGAATTTGCAATTCTATATTTAGAGTGCTTTCAGGCCTGTGGTACAAAAGGGAATGTCTTCACATAAAATCTAGACAGAAGCATTGTCGGTAACTACTTTGTGATACATGGCTTCAACTCTCAGAGTTGAATATTCCTCTTGAAGGAGCAGTTTTGAAAAACACTTTTTGTTGAATCTCCAAGTGGATATTTGGTCCTCTTTGTGGCCTTCGTTTGAAACGTGACTGCTTCATACAAAAGTAGACAGAAGAATTCTCATAAACTTCTTCGTGATGTGTGCTTTCAACTCGCAGAGTTGAAGCTTCCTTTCGATAGAGCAGTCTTGTAACTCTCTTTTTGTAGAATTTCCAAGTGGATATTTAGCGCCGCTTGAGGCCTATGGTGGAGAAGGCGATATCTTCATAGAAAAACTAGACAGAATGATTCTCAGAAACTACTCTGTGATGTGTGCCTTCAACTCACAGAGTTTAACCTTCCTTTTGATAGAGCAGTTTTGAAAAACTCTTTTTGTAGAATCTGCAAGTGTATATTGGGACTTTTCTGAGGCCATCTTTGGAAACGGGATTTCTTCATATAAAACTTGAAAGAAGAATCCTCAGAAAATTATTTGTGATATGTGCATTTAACTCATGGAGTTGAAACTTCCTTTCGATAGAAGAGTTTTGAAATACTCTTTTTGTAGAATTCCCAAGTGGATTTTTACAGCGGTTTGAGGTCTATGGCAGCAAAAGAAATATCTTCACAGAAAAACTAGGCAGATTCATTCTCCGAAGCTGTTTTGTGATGCTTGCATTCAGCTGACAGAGTTTAAACTTCCTTTGATAGAGCAGTTTGGAAACACTCTTTTTGTGGAATTTGCAAGTGTATATTTAGAGCGTTTTGAGGCCTACAGAAGGCAAGGAAATATCTTCACCTAAAAACTAGACAGAAGTATTGTCAGAAACTTATTTGTGATATTTGCATTCAACGCACGGAGTTGAACATTCCTCTTGATGGAGCCGTTTTGAAGCACTCTTTTTGTGGAATCTGCAAGTGGATATTTGGACCTCTTTGTGGCCTTCGTGTGAAACGTTATTTCTTCATTTACAACTAGACAGAAGAATTCTCAGAAACTTCTTTGTGATGTGTACTTTCAACTCACAGAGTTGAAGCTTCCTTTCAATAGAGCACTTTTGAAACTCAGTTTCTGTAGAATTTCCAGGTGGATATTTAGCGCCGTTTGAGGCCTATGGTGGAAAAGGCAATATCTTCGTAGAAAAACTAGACAGAATGATTCTCAGAAGCTACTTTGTGATGTGTGGGTTCAACTCACTGAGTTTAACCTTTCTTTTGATAGACCAGTTATGAAACACTCTTTCTGTGGAATCTGCAAGTAAATATTTGGACTTTTTTGAGGCCTTCATTGGAAACGGGGTTTCTTCATATAAACCTTGACAAAAGAATTCTCAGAAACTTCTCTGTGATGTGTGCATTTAACTCTCAGAGTTCACCCTTCCTTTGATAGAAGAGTGTTGAAATATTCTTTTTGTAGAATTTCCAAGTGAATATTTAGAGCGGTTTCAGGCCTATGTAGAAGAGAAACTATCTTCACAGAAAAACTAGACATAACTGTTCTCTGAAGCTGCTCTGTGATGTGCGCATTCAGCTGACAGAGTTTAACCTTTCTTTGGATAGAGCGGTTTTCAACACTCTTTTTGTGGAATTTGCAATTCTATATTTAGAGTGCTTTCAGGCCTGTGGTACAAAAGGGAATGTCTTCACATAAAATCTAGACAGAAGCATTGTCGGGAACTACTTTGAGATACTTGCCTTCAACTCTCAGAGTTGAATATTCCTCTTGATGGAGCAGTTTTGAAAAACTCTTTTTGTTGAATCTCCAAGTGGATATTTGGACCTCTTTGTGGCCTTCGTTTGAAACGTGACTGCTTCATACAAAAGTAGACAGAAGAATTCTCATAAACTTCTTGGTGATGTGTGCTTTCAACTCGCAGCGTTGAAGCTTCCTTTCGATAGAGCAGTTTAGTAACTCTCTTTTTGTAGAATTTCCAAGTGGATATTTAGCGCCGTTTGAGGCCTATGGTGGAAAAGGCAATATCTTCATAGAAAAACTAGACAGAATGATTCTCAGAAACTACTCTGTGATGTGTGTCTTCAACTCACAGAGTTTAACCTTCCTTTTGGTAGAGCAGTTTTGAAAAACTCTTTTTGTAGAATCTGCAAGTGTATATTATGAGTTTTCTGAGGCCATCTTTGGAAACGGGATTTCATCATATAAAACTTGAAAGAAGAATCCTCAGAGAATTATTTGTGATATGTGCATTTAACTCATGGAGTTGAAACTTCCTTTCGATAGAAGAGTTTTGAAATACTCTTTTTGTAGAATTTCCAAGTGGATTTTTACAGCGGTGTGAGGTCTATGGCAGCAAAAGAAATAACTTCACAGAAAAACTGGGCAGATTCATTCTCCGAAGCTGTTTTGTGATGCTCGCATTCAGCTGACAGAGTTTAAACTTCCTTTGAGAGAGCAGTTTGGAAACACTCTTTTTGTGGAATTTGCAAGTGTATATTTAGAGCGTTTTGAGGCCTACATTGGGAAAGGAAATATCTTCACCTAAAAACTAGACAGAAGTATTGTCAGAAACTTATTTGTGATATTTGCATTCAACGCACGGTGTTGAACATTCCTCTTTATGGAGCCGTTTTGAAGCACTCTTTTTGTGGAATCTGCAAGTGGATATTTGGACCTCTTTGTGGCCTTCGTGTGAAACGTGATTTCTTCATTTACAACTAGACAGAAGAATTCTCAGAAACTTCTTTGTGATGTGTACCTTCAACTCACAGAGTTGAAGCTTCCTTTCAATAGAGCACCTTAGAAACTCAGTTTTTGTAGAATTTCCAGGTGGATATTTAGCGCCGTTTGAGGCCTATGGTAGAAAAGGCAATATCTTCGTAGGAGGACTAGACAGAATGATTCTCAGAAACAACTTTGTGATGTGTGCGTTCAACTCACGGAGTTTAACCTTTCTTTTGATAGACCAGTTATGAAACACTCTTTTTGTAGAATCTGCAGGTAAATATTTGGACTTTTTTGAGGCCTTCATTGGAAACGGGATCTCCTCATATAAACCTTGACAGAAGAATTCTCAGAAACTTCTCTGTGATGTGTGCGTTTAACTCTCAGAGTTCAACCTTCCTTTTGATGGAAGAGTGTTGAAGTATTCTTTTTGTAGAATTTCGAAGTGAGTATTTAGAGCGGTTTCAGGCCTATGTAGAAGAGAAAATATCTTCCCAGAAAGACTAGACATAATTGTTCTCTGAAGCTACTCTGTGATGTGCGCATTCAGCTGACAGGGTTTAACCTTTCTTTGGATAGAGCGGTTTTAAACACTCTTTTTGTGGAATTTGCAATTCTATATTTAGAGTGCTTTCAGGCCTGTGGTACAAAAGGGAATGTCTTCACATAAAATCTAGACAGAAGCATTGCCGGGAACTACTTTGTGATACCTGCCTTCAACTCTCAGAGTTGAATATTCCTCTTGATGGAGCAGTTTTGAAAAACTCTTTTTGTTGAATCTCCAAGTGGATATTTGGACCTCGTTGTGGCCTTCGTTTGAAACGTGACTGCTTCATACAAAAGTAGACAGAAGAATTCTCATAAACTTCTTCGTGATTTGTGCTTTCAACTCGCAGCCTTGAAGCTTCCTTTCGATAGAGCAGTTTAGTAACTCTCTTTTTGTAGAATTTCCAAGTGGATATTTAGCGCTGTCTGAGGCCTATGGTGGAAAAGGCAATATCTTCATAGAAAAACTAGACAGAATGATTCTCAGAAACTGCTTTGTCATGTGTGCCTTCAACTCACAGAGTTTAACCTTTCTTTTGATAGAGCAGTTTTGAAAAGCTCTTTTTGTAGAATCTGCAAGTGTATATTGGGACTTATCTGAGGCCATCTTTGGAAACGGGATTTCTTCATATAAAACTTCAAAGAAGAATCCTCAGAAAATTATTTGTGATATGTGCATTTAACTCATGGAGTTGAAACTTCCTTTCGACAGAAGAGTTTTTAAATACTCTTTTTGTAGAATTTCCAAGTGGATTTTCACTGCGGTTTGAGGTCTATGGCAGAAAAAGAAATATCTTCACAGAAAAACTATGCAGATTCATTCTCCGAAGCTGTTTTGTGATGCTTGCATTCAGCTTACAGAGTTTAAACTTACTTTGATAGAGCAGTTTTGAAACCCTCTTTTTGTGGAATTTGCAAGTGTCTCTTTAGAGCGTTTTGAGGCCTACAGTAGGAAAGGAAATATCTTCACATAAAAACTAAGCGGAAGTATTGTCAGAAACTTATTTGTGATATTTGCATTCACCGCACAGAGTTGAACATTCCTCTTGATGGAGCCGTTTTGAGACACTCTTTTTGTAGAATCTGCAAGTGGATATTTGGACCTCTTTGTGGCCTTCGTGTGAAACGTGATTTCTTCATTGACAACTAGACAGAAGAATTCTCAGAAACTTCTTTGTGATGTGTACCTTCAACTCACAGAGGTGAAGCTTCCTTTCACTAGAGCACTTTTGAAACTCACTTTTGGTAGAATTTCCAGGTGGATATTTTGCGCCGTTTGAGGCCTATGGTAGAAAAGGCAATATCTTCGTAGGAGAACTAGACAGAATGATTCTCAGAAACTACTTTGTGATGTGTGGGTTCATATCACTGAGTTTAACCTTTCTTTTGATAGACCCGTTATGAAACAGTCTTTTTGTAGAATCTGCAAGTAAATATTTGAACTTTTTTGAGGCCTTCATTGGAAACGGGATTTCTTCATAGAAACCTTGACAGAAGAATTCTCAGAAACTTCTCTGTGATGTGTGCGTTTAACTCTCAGAGTTCAACCTTCCTTTTGATAGAAGAGTGTTGAAATATTGTTTTTGTAGAATTTCCAAGTGAATATTTAGAGCGGTTTCAGGCCTATGTAGAAGAGAATCTATCTTCACAGAAAAACTAGACATAATTGTTCTCTGAAGCTGCTACTGTGATGTGCGCATTCAGCTGACAGAGTTTAACCTTTCTTTGGATAGAGCGGTTTTCAACACTCTTTTTGTGGAATTTGCAATTCTATATTTAGAGTGCTTTCAGGCCTGTGGTACAAAAGGGAATGTCTTCACATAAAATCTAGACAGAAGCATTGTCGGTAACTACTTTGTGATACATGGCTTCAACTCTCAGAGTTGAATATTCCTCTTGAAGGAGCAGTTTTGAAAAACACTTTTTGTTGAATCTCCAAGTGGATATTTGGTCCTCTTTGTGGCCTTCGTTTCAAACGTGACTGCTTCATACAAAAGTAGACAGAAGAATTCTCATAAACTTCTTGGTGATGTGTGCTTTCAACTCGCAGCGTTGAAGCTTCCTTTCGATAGAGCAGTTTAGTAACTCTCTTTTTGTAGAATTTCCAAGTGGATATTTAGCGCCGTTTGAGGCCTATGGTGGAAAAGGCAATATCTTCATAGAAAAACTAGACAGAATGATTCTCAGAAACTACTTTGTGATGTGTGCCTTCAACTCACAGTGTTTAACCTTCCTCTTGGTAGAGCAGTTTTGAAAAACTCTTTTTGTAGAATCTGCAAGTGTATATTGGGACTTTTCTGAGGCCATCTTTGGAAACGGGATTTCTTCATATAAAACTTGAAAGAAGAATCCTCAGAAAATTATTTGTGATATGTGCATTTAACTCATGGAGTTGAAACTTCCTTTCGCTAGAAGAGTTTTGACATACTCTTTTTGTAGGATTTCCAAGTGGATTTTCACAGCGGTTTGAGGTCTATGGCAGAAAAAGAAATATCTTCACAGAAAAACTAGGCAGATTCATTCTCCGAAGCTGTTTTGTGATGCTTGCATTCAGCTTACAGAGTTTAAACTTCCTTTGATAGAGCAGTTTTGAAACCCCCTTTTGGTGGAATTTGCAAGTGTATATTTAGAGCGTTTTGAGGCCTACAGTAGGAAAGGAAATATCTTCACATAAAAACTAGACGGAAGTATTGTCAGAAACTTATTTGTGATATTTGCATTCAACGCACAGTAGTTGAACATTCCTCTTGATGGAGCAGATTTGAAACCCTCTTTTTGCAGAATCTGCAGCTGGATATTTGGACCTCTTTGTGGCCTTCGTTTGAAACGTGATTTCTGCATTTACAACTAGACAGAAGAATTCTCAGAAACTTCTTTGTGATGTGTACCTTCAACTCACAGAGGTGAAGCTTCCTTTCAATAGAGCACTTTTGAAACTCAGTTTTGGTAGAATTTCCAGGTGGATATTTAGCGCCGTTTGAGGCCTATGGTAGAAAAGGCAATATCTTCGTAGGAGAACTAGACACAATGATTCTCAGAAGCTACTTTGTGATGTGTGGGTTCAACTCACTGAGTTTAACCTTTCTTTTGATAGACCAGTTATGAAACACTCTTTTTGTGGAATCGGCAAGTAAATATTTGGACTTTTTGGAGGCCTTCATTGGAAACGTGGTTTCTTCATATAAACCTTGACAGAAGAATTCTCAGAAACTTCTCTGTGATGTGTGCATTTAACTCTCAGAGTTCAACCTTCCTTTTGATAGAAGAGTGTTGAAATATTCTTTTTGTAGAATTTCCAAGTGAATATTTAGAGCTGTTTGAGGCCTATGTAGAAGAGAAACTATCTTCACAGAAAAACTAGACAGAATTGTTCTCTGAAGCTGCTCTGTGATGTGCGCATTCAGCTGAGAGAGTTTAACCTTTCTTTGGATAGAGCGGTTTTCAACACTCTTTTTGTGGAATTTGCAATTCTATATTTAGAGTGATTTCAGGCCTGTGGTACAAAAGGGAATGTCTTCACATAAAATCTAGACAGAAGCATTGTCGGAAACTACTTTGTGATAACTGCCTTCAACTCTCAGAGTTGAATATTCCTCTTGATGGAGCAGTTTTGAAAAACTCTTTTTGTTGAATCTCCAAGTGGATATTTGGACCTCTTTGTGGCCTTCGTTTGAGAGGTGACTTCTTCATACAAAACTAGACAGAAGAATTCTCATAAAATTCTTCGTGATGTGTGCTTTCAACTCGCAGCGTTGAAGCTTCCTTTCGATAGAGCAGTTCTGTAACTCTCTTATTGTAGAATTTCCAAGTGGATATTTAGCGCCGTTTGAGGCCTATGGTGGAAAAGGCAATATCTTCATAGAAAAACTAGACAGAATGATTCTCAGAAACTACTTTGTGATGTGTGCCTTCAACTCACAGAGTTTAACCTTCCTTTTGGTAGAGCAGTTTTGAAAAACTCTTTTTGTAGAATCTGCAAGTGTATATTGGGACTTTTCTGAGGCCATCTTTGGAAACGGGATTTCTTCATATAAAACTTGAAAGAAGAATCCTCAGAAAATTATTTGTGATATGTGCATTTAACTCATGGAGTTGAGACTTCCTTTCGATAGAAGAGTTTTGAAATACTCTTTTTGTAGAATTTCCAAGTGGATTTTTACAGCGCTTTGAGGTCTATGGCAGAAAAAGAAATATCTTCCCAGAAAAACTAGGCAGATTCATTCTCCGAAGCTGTTTTGTGATGCTTGCATTAAGCTGACAGAGTTTAAACTTCCTTTGATAGAGCAGTTTGGAAACACTCTTTTTGTGGAATTTGCAAGTGTATATTTAGAGCGTTTTGAGGCCTACAGTAGGAAAGGAAATATCTTCACATAAAAGCTAGACAGAAGTATTGTCAGAAACTTATTTGTGATATTTGCATTCAACGCCCAGAGTTGAACATTCCTCTTGATGGAGCCGTTTTGAAACACTCTTTTTGTAGAATCTGCAAGTGGATATTTGGACCTCTTTGTGGCCTTCGTTTGAAACGTGATTTCTTCATTTACAACTAGACAGAAGAATTCTCAGAAACTTCTTTGTGATGTGTACCTTCAACTCACAGAGGTGAAGCTTCCTTTCAATAGAGCACTTTTGAACCTCAGTTTTGGTAGAATTTCCAGGTGGATATTTAGCGCCGTTTGAGGCCTATGGTAGAAAAGGCAATATCTTCGTAGGAGAACTAGACACAATGATTCTCAGAAACAACTTTGTGATGTGTGCGTTCAACTCACGGAGTTTAACCTTTCTTTTGATAGACTAGTTATGAAACACTCTTTTTGTAGAATCTGCAAGTAAATATTTGGACTTTTTTGAGGCCTTCATTGGAAACGGGATCTCTTCATATAAACCTTGACAGAAGAATTCCCAGAAACTTCTCTGTGATGTGTGCATTTAACTCTCAGAGTTCAACCTTCCTTTTGATAGAAGAGGGTTGAAATATCCTTTCTGTAGAATTTCCAAGTGAATATTTAGAGCGGTTTCAGGCCTATGTAGAAGAGAAAATATCTTCACAGAAAAACTAGACATAATGGTTCTCTGAAGCTACTTTGCGATGTGCGCATTCAGCTTACAGAGTTTAACCTTTCTTTGGATAGAGCGGTTTTAAACACTCTTTTTGGGGAATTTGCAATTCTATATTTAGAATGCTTTCAGGCCTGTGGTACAAAAGGGAATGTCCTCACATAAAATCTAGACAGAAGCATTGTCGGGAACTACTTTGGGATACCTGCCTTCAACTCTCAGAGTTGAATATTCCTCTTGATGGAGCAGTTTTGTAAAACTCTTTTTGTTGAATCTGCAAGTGGATATTTAGACCTCTTTGTGGCCTTCGTTTGAAACGTGACTGCTTCATACAAAAGTAGACAGAAGAATTCTCATAAACTTCTTCGTGATGCGTGCTTTCAACTCGCAGAGTTGAAGCTTCCTTTCAATAGAGCAGTCTTGTAACTCTCTTTTTGTAGAATTTCCAAGTGGATATTTAGCGCCGTTTGAGGCCTATGGTGGAAAAGGCGATATCTTCCTAGAAAAACTAGACAGAATGATTCTCAGAAACTACTCTGTGATGTGTGCCTTCAACTCACAGAGTTTAACCTTCCTTTTGATAGAGCAGTTTTGAAAAACTCTTTTTGTAGAATCTGCAAGTGTATATTGGGACTTTTCTGAGGCCATCTTTGGAAACTGGATTTCTTCATATAAAACTTGAAAGAAGAATCCTCAGAAAATTATTTGTGATATGTGCATTTAACTCATGGAGTTGAAACTTCCTTTCGATAGAAGAGCTTTGAAATACTCTTTTTGTAGAATTTCCAAGTGGATTTTTACAGCGGTTTGAGGTCTATGGCAGAAAAAGAAATATCTTCACAGAAAAACTAGGCAGATTCATTCTCCGAAGCTGTTTTGTGATGCTTGCATTAAGCTGACAGAGTTTAAACTTCCTTTGATAGATCAGTTTGGAAACACTATTTTTGTGGAATTTGCAAGTGTATATTTAGAGCATTTTGAGGCCTACAGTAGGAAAGGAAATATCTTCACATAAAAACTACACAGAAGTATTGTCAGAAACTTATTTGTGATATTTGCATTCAACGCACGGTGTTGAACATTCCTCTTTATGGAGCCGTTTTGAAGCACTCTTTTTGTGGAATCTGCAAGTGGATATTTGGACCTCTTTGTGGCCTTCGTGTGAAACGTGATTTCTTCATTTACAACTAGACAGAAGAATTCTCAGAAACTTCTTTGTGATGAGTACCTTCAACTCACAGAGTTGAAGCTTCCTTTCAATAGAGCACTTTTGAAGCTCAGTTTTGGTAGAATTTCCAGGTGGATATTTAGCGCCGTTTGAGGCCTATGGTAGAAAAGGCAATATCTTCGTAGGAGAACTAGACAGAATGATTCTCAGAAGCTACCTTGTGATGTGTGGGTTCAACTCACTGAGTTTAACCTTTCTTTTGATAGACCAGTTATGAAACACTCTTTTTCTGGAATCTGCAAGTAAATATTTGGACTTTTTTGAGGCCTTCATTGGAAACGGGGTTTCCTCATATAAACCTTGACAGAAGAATTCTCAGAAACTTCTCTGTGATGTGTGTGTTTAACTCTCAGAGTTCAACCTTCCTTTTGATAGAAGAGTGTTGAAATATTCTTTTTGTAGAATTTCCAAGTGCATATTTAGAGCTGTCTCAGTCCTATGTAGAAGAGAAACTATCTTCACAGAAAAACTAGACATAATTGTTCTCTGAAGCTACTTTGTGATGCGCGCATTCAGCTGACAGAGTTTAACCTTTCTTTGGATAGAGCGGTTTTAAACACTCTTTTTGTGGAATTTGCAATTCTATATTTAGAGTGCTTTCAGGCCTGTGGTACAAAAGGGAATATCGTCACATAAAATCCAGACAGAAGCATTGTCGGGAACTACTTTGTGATACCTGCCTTCAACTCTCAGAGTTGAATATTCCTCTTGATGGAGCAGTTTTGAAAAACTCCTTTTGTTGAATCTCCAAGTGGATATTTGGACCTCTTTGTGGCCTTCGTTTGAAACGTGACTGCTTCATACAAAAGTAGACAGAAGAATTCTCATAAACTTCTTCGTGATGCGTGCTTTCAACTCGCAGAGTTGAAGCTTCCTTTCGATAGAGCAGTCTTGTAACTCTCTTTTTGTAGAATTTCCAAGTGGATATTTAGCGCCGTTTGAGGCCTAAGGTGGAAAAGGCGATATCTTCCTAGAAAAACTAGACAGAATGATTCTCAGAAGCTACTTTGTGATGTGTGCCTTCAACTCACAGAGTTTAACCTTTCTTTTGATAGAGCAGTTTTGAAAAACTCTTTTTGTAGAATCTGCAAGTGTATATTGGGACTTTTCTGAGGCCATCTTTGGAAACGGGATTTCTTCAGATAAAACTTGAAAGAAGAATCCTCAGAAAATTATTTGTGATATGTGCATTTAACTCATGGAGTTGAAACTTCCTTTCGATAGAAGAGTTTTGAAATACTCTTTTTGTAGAATTCCCAAGTGGATTTTTACAGCGGTTTGAGGTGCTATGGCAGCAAAAGAAATATCTTCACAGAAAAACTAGGCAGATTCATTCTCCGAAGCTGTTTTGTGATGCTTGCATTAAGCGGACAGAGTTTAAACTTCCTTTCATAGAGCAGTTTGGAAACACTCTTTTTGTGGAATTTGCAAGTGTATATTTAGAGCATTTTGAGGCCTACAGTAGGAAAGGAAATATCTTCACATAAAAACTAGACAGAAGTATTGTCAGAAACTTATTTGTGATATTTGCCTTCAACGCACAGAGTTGAACATTCCTCTTGATGGAGCAGTTTTGAAACCCTCTTTTTGCAGAATCTGCAGGTGGATATTTGGACCTCTTTGTGGCCTTCGTTTGAAACGTGATTTCTTCATTTACAACTTGACAGAAGAATTCTCAGAAACTTCTTTTTGATGTGTACCTTCAACTCACAGAGGTGGAGCTTCCTTTCAATAGAGCACTTTTGAAGCTCAGTTTTGGTAGAATTTCCAGGTGGATATTTAGCGCCGTTTGAGGCCTATGGTAGAAAAGGCAATATCTTCGTAGGAGAACTAGACACAATGATTCTCAGAAGCTACATTGTGATGTGTGGGTTCAACTCACTGAGTTTAACCTTTCTTTTGATAGACCAGTTATGAAACACTCTTTTTGTGGAATCGGCAAGTAAATATTTGGACTTTTTGGAGGCCTTCTTTGGAAACGGGGTTTCTTCATATAAACCTTGACAGAAGAATTCTCAGAAACTTCTCTGTGATGTGTGCGTTTAACTCTCAGAGTTCAACCTTCCTTTTGATAGAAGAGTGTTGAAATATTCTTTTTGTAGAATTTCCAAGTGAATATTTAGAGCGGTCTCAGGCCTATGTAGAAGAGAAACTATCTTCACAGAAAAACAAGACATAATTGTTCTCTGCAGCTACTTTGTGATGTGCGCCTTCAGCTGACAGAGTTGAAACTTTCTTTGGATAGAGCGGTTTTAAGCACTCTTTCTGTGGAATTTGCAATTCTATATTTAGAGTGCTTTCAGGCCTGTGGTACAAAAGGGAATGTCTTCACATAAAATCTAGACAGAAGCATTGTCGGGAACTACTTTGGGATACCTGCCTTCAACTCTCAGAGTTGAATATTCCTCTTGATGGAGCAGTTTTGAAAAACTCTTTTTGTTGAATCTCCAAGTGGATATTTGGACCTCTTTGTGGCATTCGTTTGAAACGTGACTGCTTCACACCAAAGTAGACAGAAGAATTCTCATAAACTTCTTCGTGATGTGTGCTTTCAACTCGCAGCCTTGAAGCTTCCTTTCGATAGAGCAGTTTAGTAACTCTCTTTTTGTAGAATTTCCAAGTGGATATTTAGCGCCGTTTGAGGCCTATGGTGGAAAAGGCAATATCTTCATAGAAAAACTAGACAGAATGATTCTCAGAAACTACTCTGTGATGTGTGCCTTCAACTCACAGAGTTTAACCTTCCTTTTGATAGAGCAGTTTTGAAAAACTCTTTTTGTAGAATCTGCAAGTGTATATTGGGACTTTTCTGAGGCCATCTTTGGAAACGGGATTTCTTCATATAAAACTTGAAAGAAGAATCCTCAGCAAAATTATTTGTGATATGTGCATTTAACTCATGGAGTTGAAACTTCCTTTCGATAGAAGAGTTTTGAAATACTCTTTTTGTAGAATTCCCAAGTGGATTTTTACAGCGGTTTGAGGTCTATGGCAGCAAAAGAAATATCTTCACAGAAAAACTAGGCAGATTCATTCTCCGAAGCTGTTTTGTGATGCTTGCATTCAGCTGACAGAGTTTAAACTTCCTTTGATAGAGCAGTTTGGAAACACTCTTTTTGTGGAGTTTGCAAGTGTTTATTTAGAGCGTTTTGAGGCCTACAGTAGGAAAGGAAATATCTTCACATAAAAACTAGACAGAAGTATTGTCGGAAACTTACTTGTGATATTTGCATTCAATGCACAGAGTTGAACATTCCTCTTGATGGAGCAGTTTTGAAACACTCTTTTTGCAGAATCTGCAGGTGGATATTTGGACCTCTTTGTGGCCTTCATTTGAAACGTGATTTCTTCATTTACAACTAGACAGAAGAATTCTCAGGAACTTCTTTGTGATGTGTACCTTCAACTGACAGAGGTGAAGCTTCCTTTCAATAGAGCACTTTTGAAACTCAGTTTTGGTAGAATTTCCAGGTGGATATTTAGCGCCGTTTGAGGCCTATGGTAGAAAAGGCAATATCTTCGTAGGAGAACTAGACAGAATGATTCTCAGAAGCTACTTTGTGATGTGTGGGTTCAACTCACTGAGTTTAACCTTTCTTTTGATAGACCAGTTATGAAACACTCTTTCTGTGGAATCGGCAAGTAAATATTTGGACTTTTTTGAGCCCTTCATTGGAAACGGGGTTTCTTCATATAAACCTTGACAGAAGAATTCTCAGAAACTTCTTTGTGATGTGTGCATTTAACTCTCAGAGTTCAACCTTCCTTTTGATAGAAGAGTGTTGAAATATTCTTCTTGTAGAATTTCCAAGTGAATATTTAGAGCGGTTTCAGGCCTATGTAGAAGAGAAAATGTCTTCACAGAAAAACTAGACACAATTGTTCTCTGAAGCTACTCTGTGATGTGCGCATTCAGCTGACAGAGTTTAACCTTTCTTTGGATAGAGCGGTTTTGAACCCTCTTTTTGTGGAATTTGCAATTCCGTATTTAGAGTGCTTTCAGGCCTGTGGTACAAAAGGGAATGTCTTCACATAAAATCTAGACAGAAGCATTGTCGGGAACTACTTTGTGATACCTGCCTTCAACTCTCAGAGTTGAATATTCCTCTTGACGGAGCAGTTTTGAAAAACTCTTGTTGTTGAATCTCCAAGTGGATATTTGGACCTCTTTGTGGCCTTCGTTTGAAACGTGACTGCTTCATACAAATGTAGACAGAAGAATTCTCATAAACTTCTTCGTCATGTGTGCTTTCAACTCGCAGAGTTGAAGCTTCCTTTCGATAGAGCAGTTTTGTAACCCTCTTTTTGTAGAATTTCCAAGTGGATATTTAGCGCCGTTTGAGGCCTATGGTGGAAAAGGCAATATCTTCATAGAAAAACTAGACAGAATGATTCTCAGAAACTACACTGTGATGTGTGCCTTCAACTCACAGAGTTTAATCTTCCTTTTCATAGAGCAGTTTTGAAAAACTCTTTTTGTAGAATCTGCAAGTGTATATTGGGACTTTTCTGAGGCCATCTTTGGAAACGGGATTTCTTCATATAAAACTTGAAAGAAGAATCCTCAGAAAATTATTTGTGATATGTGCATTTAGCTCATGGAGCTGAAACTTCCTTTCGATAGAAGAGCTTTGAAATACTCTTTTTGTAGAATTTCCAAGTGGATTTTTACAGCGGTTTGATGTCTATGGCAGAAAAAGAAATATCTTCACAGAAAAATTAGGCAGATTCATTCTCCGAAGCTGTTTTGTGATGCTTGCATTAAGCGGACATAGTTTAAACTTCCTTTGAGAGAGCAGTTTGGAAACACTCTTTTTGTGGAATTTGCAAGTGTATATTTAGAGCGTTTTGAGGCCTACAGTAGGAAAGGAAATATCTTCACATAAAAACTACACAGAAGTATTGTCAGAAACTTACTTGTGATATTTGCATTCAACGCACAGAGTTGAACATTCCTCTTGATGGAGCAGTTTTGAAACACTCTTTTTGCAGAATCTGCAGGTGGATATTTGGACCTCTTTGTGGCCTTCGTTTGAAACGTGATTTCTTCATTTACAACTAGACAGAAGAATTCTCAGAAACTTCTTTGTGATGTGAACCTTCAACTCACAGAGGTGAAGCTTCCTTTCAATAGAGCACTTTTGAAGCTCAGTTTTGGTAGAATTTCCAGGTGGATATTTAGCGCCGTTTGAGGTCTATGGTGGAAAAGGCAATATCTTCGTAGGAGAACTAGACAGAATGATTCTCAGAAGCTACTTTGTGATGTGTGGGTTCAACTCACTGAGTTTAACCTTTCTTTTGATAGACCAGTTATGAAACACTCTTTTTGTGGAATCTGCAAGTAAATTTTTGGACTTTTTTGAGGCCTTCATTGGAAACGGGGTTTCTTCATATAAACCTTGACAGAAGAATTCTCAGAAACTTCTCTGTGATGTGTGCATTTAACTCTCAGAGTTCAACCTTCCTTTTGATAGAAGAGTGTTGAAATATTCTTTTTGCAGAATTTCCAAGTGAATATTTAGAGCGGTCTCAGGCCTATGTGGAAGAGAAACTATCTTCACGGAAAAACTAGACATAATTGTTCTCTGAAGCTACTCTGTGATGTGCGCATTCAGCTGACAGAGTTTAACCTTTCTTTGGATAGAGCGGTTTTCAACACTCTTTTTGTGGAATTTGCAGTTCTATATTTAGAGTGCTTTCAGGCCTGTGGTACAAAAGGGAATGTCTTCACATAAAATCTAGACAGAAGCATTGTCGGAAACTACTTTGTGATACCTGCCTTCAACTCTCAGAGTTGAATGTTCCTCTTGATGGAGCAGTTTTGAAAAACTCTCTTTGTTGAATCTCCAAGTGGATATTTGGACCTCTTTGTGGCCTTCGTTTGAGACGTGACTCCTTCATACAAAACTAGACAGAAGAATTCTCATAAACTTCTTCGTGATGTGTGCTTTCAACTCGCAGCGTTGAAGCTTCCTTTCGATAGAGCAGTTCTGTAACTCTCTTTTTGTAGAATTTCCAAGTGGATATTTAGCGCCGTTTGAGGCCTATGGTGGAAAAGGCAATATCTTCATAGAAAAACTAGACAGAATGATTCTCAGAAACTACTTTGTGATGTGTGCCTTCAACTCACAGAGTTTAACCTTCCTTTTGGTAGAGCAGTTTTGAAAAACTCTTTTTGTAGAATCTGCAAGTGTATATTGGGACTTTTCTGAGGCCATCTTTGGAAACGGGATTTCTTCATATAAAACTTGAAAAAAGAATCCTCAGAAAATTATTTGTGATATGTGCATTTAACTCATGGAGTTGAAACTTCCTTTCGATAGAAGAGTTTTGAAATACTCTTTCTGTAGAATTTCCAAGTGGATTTTTACAGCGGTGTGAGGTCTATGGCAGCAAAAGAAATATCTTCACAGAAAAACTGGGCAGATTCATTCTCCGAAGCTGTTTTGCGATGCTTGCATTAAGCTTACAGAGTTTAAGCTTCCTTTGATAGAGCAGTTTTGAGACACTCTTTTTGTGGAATTTGCAAGTGTATATTTAGAGCGTTTTGAGGCCTACAGTAGGAAAGGAAATATCTTCACATAAAAACTAGACAGAAGTATTGTCAGAAACTTATTTGTGATATTTGCATTCAACGCACAGAGTTGAACATTCCTCTTGATGGAGCAGTTTTGAAACCCTCTTTTTGCAGAATCTGCAGGTGGATATTTGGACCTCTTTGTGGCCTTCGTTTGAAACGTGATTTCTTCATTTACAACTAGACAGAAGAATTCTCAGAAACTCCTTTGTGATGTGTACCTTCAACTCACAGAGGTGAAGCTTCCTTTCAATAGAGCACTTTTGAAACTCAGTTTTGGTAGAATTTCCAGGTGGATATTTTGCGCCATTTGAGGCCTATGGTAGAAAAGGCAATATCTTCGTAGGAGAACTAGACAGAATGATTCTCAGAAACAACTTTGTGATGTGTGCGTTCAACTCACGGAGTTTAACCTTTCTTTTGATAGACCAGTTATGAAACACTCTTTTTGTAGAATCTGCAAGTAAATATTTGGACTTTTTTGAGGCCTTCATTGGAAACGGGATCTCTTCATATAAACCTTGACAGAAGAATTCCCAGAAACTTCTTTGTGATGTGTGCATTTAACTCTCAGAGTTCAACCTTCCTTTTGACAGAAGAGTGTTGAAATATTCTTTTTCTAGAATTTCCAAGTGAATATTTAGAGCGGTTTCAGGCCTATGTAGAAGAGAAAATATCTTCACAGAGAAACTAGACATAATTGTTCTCTGAAGCTACTCTCTGATGTGCGCATTCAGCTGACAGAGTTTAACCTTTCTTTGGATAGAGCGCTTTTAAACACTCTTTTTGTGGAATTTGCAATTCTATAATTAGAGTGCTTTCAGGCCTGTGGTACAAAAGGGAATGTCTTCACATAAAATCTAGATAGAAGCATTGTCGGGAACTACTTTGTGATACCTGCCTTCAACTCTCAGAGTTGAATATTCCTCTTGATGGAGCAGTTTTGTAAAACTCTTTTTGTTGATTCTCCAAGGGGATATTTGGACCTCTTTGTGGCCTTCGTTTGAAACGTGACTGCTTCATACAAAAGTAGACAGAAGAATTCTCATAAACTTCTTCCTGATGTGTGCTTTCAACTCGCACCGTTGAAGCTTCCTTTCGATAGAGCAGTTTAGTAACTCTCTTTTTGTAGAATTTCCAAGTGGATATTCAGCGCCATTTGAGGCCTATGGTGGAAAAGGCAATATCTTCATAGAAAAACTAGACAGAATGATTCTCAGAAACTACTTTGTGATGTGTGCCTTCAACTCACAGAGTTTAACCTTCCTTTTGGTAGAGCAGTTTTGAAAAACTCTTTTTGTAGTATCTGCAAGTGTATATTGGGACTTTTCTGAGGCCATCTTTGGAAACGGGATTTCTTCATATAAAACTTGAAAGAAGAATCCTCAGAAAATTATTTGTGATATGTGCATTTAACTCATGGAGTTGAGGCTTCCTTTCGATAGAAAAGTTTTGAAATACTCTTTTTGTAGAATTTCCAAGTGGATTTTTACAGCGGTTTGAGGTCTATGGCAGAAAAAGAAATATCTTCACAGAAAAACTAGGCAGATTCATTCTCCGAAGCTGTTTTGTGATGCTTGCATTAAGCTGACAGAGTTTAAACTTCCTTTGATAGAGCAGTTTGGAAACACTCTTTATGTGGAATTTGCAAGTGTATATTTAGAGCGTTTTGAGGCCTACAGTAGGAAAGGAAATATCTTCACATAAAAACTAGACAGAAGTATTGTCAGAAACTTATTTGTGATATTTGCATTCAATGCACAGAGTTGAACGTTCCTCTTGATGGAGCCGTTTTGAAACACTCTTTTTGTAGAATCTGCAAGAGGATATTTGGACCTCTTTGTGGCCTTCGTGTGAAACGTGATTTCTTCATTGACAACTAGACAGAAGAATTCTCAGAAACTTCTTTGTGATGTGTACCTTCAACTCACAGAGTTGAAGCTTCCTTTCAATAGAGCACTTTTGAAACTCAGTTTTTGTAGAATTTCCAGGTGGATATTTAGCGCCGTTTGAGGCCTATGGTAGAAAAGGCAATATCTTCGTAGGAAAACTAGACAGAATGATTCTCAGAAACAACTTTGTGATGTGTGCGTTCAACTCACGGAGTTTAACCTTTCTTTTGATAGACCAGTTATGAAACACTCTTTTTGTAGAATCTGCAAGTAAATATTTGGACTTTTTTGAGGCCTTCAATGGAAACGGGATCTCTTCATATAAACCTTGACAGAAGAATTCTCAGAAACTTCTCTGTGATGTGTGCGTTTACCTCTCAGAGTTCAACCTTCCTTTTGATAGAAGAGTGTTGAAATATTCTTTTTGCAGAATTTCCAAGTGAATATTTAGAGCGGTCTCAGGCCTATGTAGAAGAGAAACTATCTTCACGGAAAAACTAGACATAATTGTTCTCTGAAGCTACTCTGTGATGTGCGCATTCAGCTGACAGAGTTTAACCTTTCTTAGGATAGAGCGGTTTTAAACCCTCTTTTTGTGGAATTTGCAATTCTGTATTTAGAGTGCTTTCAGGCCTGTGGTACAAAAGGGAATGTCTTCACATAAAATCTAGACAGAAGCATTGTCGGTAACTACTTTGTGATACATGGCTTCAACTCTCAGAGTTGAATATTCCTCTTGAAGGAGCAGTTTTGAAAAACACTTTTTGTTGAATCTCCAAGTGGATATTTGGTCCTCTTTGTGGCCTTCGTTTGAAACGTGACTGCTTCATACAAAAGTAGACAGAAGAATTCTCATAAACTACTTTGGGATGTGTGCTTGCAACTCGCAGTAGTTGAAGATTCCTTTTGATAGAGCAGCCTTGTAACTCTCTTTTTGTAGAATTTCCAAGTGGATATTTAGCGCCGTTTGAGGTCTATGGTGGAAAAGGCAATATCTTCATAGAAAAACTAGACAGAATGATTCTCAGAAACTACTTTGTGATGTGTGCTTTCAACTCACAGAGTTTAAACTTTCTTTGGATAGAGCAGTTTTGAAAAATTCTTTTTGTAGAATCTGCAAGTGTACATTGGGACTTTTCTGAGGCCATCTTTGGAAACGGGATTTCTTCATATAAAACTTGAAAGAAGAATCCTCAGAAAATTATTTGTGATATGTGTATTTAACTCATGGAGTTGAGACTTCCTTTCGATAGAAGAGTTTTGAAATACTCTTTTTGTAGAATTTCCAAGTGGATTTTTACAGCGGTTTGAGGTCTATGGCAGAAAAAGAAATATCTTCACAGAAAAACTAGGCAGATTCATTCTCCGAAGCTGTTTTGTGATGCTTGCATTCAGCTGACAGAGATTAAACTTCCTTTGATAGAGCAGTTTGGAAACACTCTTTTTGTGGTGTTTGCAAGTGTTTATTTAGAGCGTTTTGAGGCCTACAGTAGGAAAGGAAATATCTTCACATAAAAACTAGACAGAAGTATTGTCAGAAACTTATTTGTGATATTGGCATTCAACGCACAGAGTTGAACATTCCTCTTGATGGAGCAGTTTTGAAACACTCTTTTTGTAGAATCTGCATGTGGATATTTGGACCTCTTTGTGGCCTTCGTTTGAAACGTGATTTCTGCATTTACAACTAGACAGAAGAATTCTCAGAAACTTCTTTGTGATGTGTACCTTCAACTCACAGAGGTGAAGCTTCCTTTCAATAGAGCACTTTTGAAGCTCAGTTTTGGTAGAATTTCCAGGTGGATATTTAGTGCCGTTTGAGGCCTATGATAGAAAAGGCAATATCTTCGTAGGAGAACTAGACAGAATGATTCTCAGAAGCTACTTTGTGATGTGTGGGTTCAACTCACTGAGTTTAACCTTTCTTTTGATAGACCAGTTATGAAACACTCTTTTTGTGGAATCTGCAAGTAAATATTTGGACTGTTTTCAGGCCTTCATTGGAAACGGGGTTTCTTCATATAAACCTTGACAGAAGAATTCTCAGAAACTTCTCTGTGATGTGTGCGTTTAACTCTCAGAGTTCAACCTTCCTTTTGATAGAAGAGTGTTGAAATATTCTTTTTGCAGAATTTCCAAGTGAATATTTAGAGCGGTCTCAGGCCTATGTAGAAGAGAAACTATCTTCACGGAAAAACTAGACATAATTGTTCTCTGAAGCTACTCTGTGATGTGCGCATTCAGCTGACAGAGTTTAACCTTTCTTTGGATAGAGCGGTTTTAAACCCTCTTTTTGTGGAATTTGCAATTCTATATTTAGAGTGCTTTCAGGCCTGTGGTACAAAAGGGAATGTCTTCACATAAAATCTAGACAGAAGCATTGTCGGAAACTACATTGTGATACCTGCCTTCAACTCTCAGAGTTGAATATTCCTCTTGATGAAGCAGTTTTGAAAAACTCTTTTTGTTGAATCTCCAAGTGGATATTTGGACCTCTTTGTGGCCTTCGTTTGAGACGTGACTTCTTCATACAAAAGTAGACAGAAGAATTCTCATCAACTTCTTCGTGATGTGTGCTTTCAACTCGCAGCGTTGAAGCTTCCTTTCGATAGAGCAGTTCAGTAACTCTCTTTTTGTAGAATTTCCAAGTGGATATTTAGCGCCGTTTGAGGCCAATGGTGGAAAAGGCAATATCTTCATAGAAAAACTAGACAGAATGATTCTCAGAAACTACTTTGTGATGTGTGCCTTCAACTCACAGAGTTATCCTTTCTTTTGATAGAGCAGTTTTGAAAAACTCTTTTTGTAGAATCTGCAAGTGTATATTGGGACTTTTCTGAGGCCATCTTTGGAAACGGGATTTCTTCATATAAAACTTGAAAGAAGAATCCTCAGAAAATTATTTGTGATATGTGCGTTTAACTCATGGAGTTGAAACTTCCTTTCGATAGAAGAGTTTTGAAATACTCTTTTTGTAGAATTTCCAAGTGGATTTTTACAGTGGTTTGAGGTCTATGGCAGAAAAAGGAATATCTTCACAGAAAAACTAGGCAGATTCATTCTCCGAAGCTGTTTTGTGATGCTTGCATTCAGCTGACAGAGTTTAAACTTCCTTTGATAGAGCAGTTTTGAAACACTCTTTTTGTGGAATTTGCAAGTGTATATTTAGAGCGTTTTGAGGCCTACAGTAGGAAAGGAAATATCTTCACCTAAAAATTAGACAGAAGTATTGTCAGAAACATATTTGTGATATTTGCATTCAACGCACGGAGTTGAACATTCCTCTTGATGGAGCCGTTTTGAAGCACTCTTTTTGTGGAATCTGCAAGTGTATATTTGGACCTCTTTGTGGCCTTCGTGGGAAACGTGATTTCTTCATTTACAACTAGACAGAAGAATTCTCAGAAACTTCTTTGTGATGTGTACTTTCAACTGACAGAGTTGAAGCTTCCTTTCAATAGAGCACTTTTGAAACTCAGTTTCTGTAGTATTTCCAGGTGGATATTTAGCGCCGTTTGAGGCCTATGGTGGAAAATGCAATTATCTTCGTAGAAAAACTAGACAGAATGATTCTCAGAAACTACTTTGTGATGTGTGGGTTCAACTCACTGAGTTTAACCTTTCTTTTGATAGACCAGTTATGAAACACTCTTTTTGTAGAATCTGCAAGTAAATATTTGGACTTTTTTGAGGCCTTCATTGGAAATGGGATTTCTTCATATAAACCTTGACAGAAGAATTCCCAGAAACTTCTTTGTGATGTGTGCATTGAACTCTCAGAGTTCAACCTTCCTTTTGATAGAAGAGTGTTGAAATATTCTTTTTGTAAAATTTCCAAGTGAATATTTAGAGCGGTTTCAGGCCTATGTAGAAGAGAAAATATCTTCACAGAGAAACTAGACATAATTGTTCTCTGAAGCTACTTTGTGATGGGAGCCTTCAGCTGACAGTGTTTAACCTTTCTTTGGATAGAGTGGTTTTAAACACTCTTTCTGTGGAATTTGCAATTCTATATTTAGAGTGCTTTCAGGCCTGTGGTACAAAAGGGAATGTCTTCACATAAAATCTAGACAGAAGCATTGTCGGGAACTACTTTGTGATACCAGCCTTCAACTCTCAGAGTTGAATATTCCTCTTGACGGAGCAGTTTTGAAAAACTCTTTTTGTTGAATCTCCAAGTGGATATTTGGACCTCTTTGTGGCCTTCGTTTGAAACGTGACTGCTTCATACAAAAGTAGACAGAAGAATTCTCATAAACTTCTTCGTGATGTGTGCTTTCAACTCGCAGCGTTGAAGCTTCCTTTCGATAGAGCAGTTTAGTAACTCTCTTTTTGTAGAATTTCCAAGTGGATATTTAGCGCCGTTTGAGGCCTATGGTGGAAAAGGCAATATCTTCATAGAAAAACTAGACAGAATGATTCTCAGAAACTACTCTGTGACGTGTGCCTTCAACTCACAGAGTTTAACCTTCCTTTTGATAGAGCAGTTTTGAAAAACTCTTTTTGTAGAATCTGCAAGTGTATATTGGGACTTTTCTGAGGCCATCTTTGGAAACGGGATTTCTTCATATAAAACTTGAAAGAAGAATCCTCAGAAAATTAATTGTGATATGTGTATTTAACTCATGGAGCTGAAACTTCCTTTCGATAGAAGAGCTTTGAAATACTCTTTTTGTAGAATTTCCAAGTGGATTTTTACAGCGGTTTGAGGTCTATGGCAGAAAAAGAAATATCTTCACAGAAAAACTAGGCAGATTCATTCTCCGAAGCTGTTTTGTGATGCTTGCATTAAGCGGACAGAGTTTAAACTTCCTTTGATAGAGCAGTTTGGAAACACTCTTTTTGTGGAATTTGCAAGTGTATCTTTAGAGCGTTTTGAGGCTTACAGTAGGAAAGGAAATATCTTCACATAAAAACTACACAGAAGTATTGTCAGAAACTTATTTGTGATATTTGCATTCAACGCACAGAGTTGAACATTCCTCTTGATGGAGCCGTTTTGAGACACTCTTTTTGTAGAATCTGCAAGTGGATATTTGGACCTCTTTGTGGCCTTCGTGTGAAACGTGATTTCTTCATTGACAACTAGACAGAAGAATTCTCAGAAACTTCTTTGTGATGTGTACCTTCAACTCACAGAGGTGAAGCTTCCTTTCAATAGAGCACTTTTGAAGCTCAGTTTTGGTAGAATTTCCAGGTGGATATTTAACGCCGTTTGAGGCCTATGGTAGAAAAGGCAATATCTTCGTAGGAGAACTAGACAGAATGATTCTCAGAAGCTACTTTGTGATGTGTGGGTTCAACTCACTGAGTTTAACCTTTATTTGATAGACCAGTTATGAAACACTCTTTTTGTGGAATCTGCAAGTAAATATTTGGACTTTTTTGAGGCCTTCATTGGAAACGGGGTTTCTTCATATAAACCTTGACAAAAGAATTTCCAGAAACTTCTCTGTGATGTGTGCATTTAACTCTCAGAGTTCAACCTTCCTTTTGATAGAAGAGGGTTGAAATATTCTTTTTGTAGAATTTCCAAGTGAATATTTAGAGCGGTTTCAGGCCTAAGTAGAAGAGAAAATATCTTCACAGAAAAACTAGACATAATTGTTCTCTGAAGCTACTCTGTGATGTGCGCATTCAGCTGACAGAGTTTAACCTTTCTTAGGATAGAGCGGTTTTAAACCCTCTTTTTGTGGAATTTGCAATTCTGTATTTAGAGTGCTTTCAGGCCTGTGGTACAAAAGGGAATGTCTTCACATAAAATCTAGACAGAAGCATTGTCGGAAACTACTTTGTGATACCTGCCTTCAACTCTCAGAATTGAATGTTCCTCTTGATGGAGCAGTTTTGAAAAACTCTTTTTGTTGAATCTCCAAGTGGATATTTGGACCTCTTTGTGGCCTTCATTTGAGACGTGACTTCTTCATACAAAAGTAGACAGAAGAATTCTCATAAACTTCTTCGTGATGTGTGCTTTCAACTCGCAGAGTTGAAGCTTCCTTTCGATAGAGCAGTCTTGTAACACTCTTTTTGTAGAATTTCCAAGTGGATATTTAGCGCCGCTTGAGGCCTATGGTGGAGAAGGCGATATCTTCATAGAAAAACTAGACAGAATGATTCTCAGAAACTACGTTGTGATGTGTGCCTTCAACTCACAGAGTTTAACCTTCCTTTTGGTAGAGCAGTTTTGAAAAACGCTTTTTGTAGAATCTGCAAGTGTATATTGGGACTTTTCTGAGGCCATCTTTGGAAACGGGATTTCTTCATATAAAACTTGAAAGAAGAATCCTTAGAAAATTATTTGCGATATGTGCATTTAACTCATGGAGTTGAAACTTCCTTTCGATAGAAGAGTTTTGAAATACTCTTTTTGTAGAATTTCCAAGTGGATTTTTACAGCGGTTTGAGGTCTATGGCAGCAAAAGGAATATCTTCACAGAAAAACTAGGCAGATTCATTCTCCGAAGCTGTTTTGTGATGCTTGCATTCAGCTGACAGAGTTTAAACTTCCTTTGATAGAGCAGTTTTGAAACACTCTTTTTGTGGAATTTGCAAGTGTATATTTAGAGCGTTTTGAGGCCTACAGTAGGAAAGGAAATATCTTCACCTAAAAACTAGACAGAAGTATTGTCAGAAACTTATTTGTGATATTGGCATTCAATGCACAGAGTTGAACATTCCTCTTGATGGAGCAGTTTTGAAACACTCTTTTTGTAGAATCTGCATGTGGATATTTGGACCTCTTTGTGGCCTTCGTTTGAAACGTGATTTCTGCATTTACAACTAGTCAGAAGAATTCTCAGAAACTTCTTTGTGATGTGTACCTTCAACTCACAGAGTTGAAGCTTCCTTTCAATAGAGCACCTTAGAAACTCAGTTTTTGTAGAATTTCCAGGTGGATATTTAGCGCCGTTTGAGGCCTATGGTAGAAAAGGCAATATCTTCGTAGGAGGACTAGACAGAATGATTCTCAGAAACTACTTTGTGATGTGTGGGTTCAACTCACTGAGTTTAACCTTTCTTTTGATAGACCAGTTATGAAACACTCTTTTTGTAGAATCTGCAAGTAAATATTTGGACTTTTTTGAGGCCTTCATTGGAAACGGGATTTCTTCATAGAAACCTTGACAGAAGAATTCTCAGAAACTTCTCTGTGATGTGTGCGTTTAACTCTCAGAGTTCAACCTTCCTTTTGATAGAAGAGTGTTGAAATATTCTTTTTGCAGAATTTCCAAGTGAATATTTAGAGCGGTCTCAGGCCTATGTGGAAGAGAAACTATCTTCACGGAAAAACTAGACATAATTGTTCTCTGAAGCTACTTTGTGATGTGCGCATTCAGCTTACAGAGTTTAACCTTTCTTTGGATCGAGCGGTTTTAAACACTCTTTTTGTGGAATTTGCAATTCTATATTTAGAGTGCTTTCAGGCCTGTGGTACAAAAGGGAATGTCCTCACATAAAATCTAGACAGAAGCATTGTCGGAAACTACTTTGTGATTCCTGCCTTCAACTCTCAGAGTTGAATATTCCTCTTGATGGAGCAGTTTTGAAAAACTCTTTTTGTTGAATCTCCAAGTGGATATTTGGACCTCTTTGTGGCCTTCGTTTGAGACGTGACTTCTTCATACAAAAGTAGACAGAAGAATTCTCATCAACTTCTTCGTGATGTGTGCTTTCAACTCGCAGCGTTGAAGCTTCCTTTCGATAGAGCAGTTCTGTAACTCTCTTTTTGTAGAATTTCCAAGTGGATATTTAGCGCCGTTTGAGGCCAATGGTGGAAAAGGCAATATCTTCATAGAAAAACTAGACAGAATGATTCTCAGAAACTACTTTGTGATGTGTGCCTTCAACTCACAGAATTTAACCTTTCTTTTGATAGAGCAGTTTTGAAAAACTCTTTTTGTAGAATCTGCAAGTGTATATTTGGACTTTTCTGAGGCCATCTTTGGAAACGGGATTTCTTCATATAAAACTTGAAAGAAGAATCCTCAGAAAATTATTTGTGATATGTGCATTTAACTCATGGGAGTTGAAACTTCCTTTCGATAGAAGAGTTTTGAAATACTCTTTTTGTAGAATTTCCAAGTGGATTTTTACAGCGGTGTGAGGTCTATGGCAGGAAAAGAAATATCTTCACAGAAAAACTAGGCAGATTCATTCTCCGAAGCTGTTTTGCGATGCTTGCATTAAGCTTACAGAGTTTAAGCTTCCTTTGATAGAGCAGTTTTGAGACACTCTTTTTGTGGAATTTGCAATGTGTATATTTAGAGCGTTTTGAGGCCTACAGTAGGAAAGGAAATATCTTCACATAAAAACTAGACAGAAGTATTGTCAGAAACTTATTTGTGATATTTGCATTCAACGCACAGAGTTGAACATTCCTCTTGATGGAGCAGTTTTGAAACCCTCTTTTTGCAAAATCTGCAGGTGGATATTTGGACCTCTTTGTGGCCTTCGTTTGAAACGTGATTTCTTCATTTACAACTAGACAGAAGAATTCTCAGAAACTTCTTTGTGATGTGTATCTTCAACTCACAGTGTTGAAGCTTCCTTTCAATAGAGCACTTTTGAAACTCAGTTTTTGTAGAATTTCCAGGTGGATATTTAGCGCCGTTTGAGGCCTATGGTAGAAAAGGCAATATCTTCGTAGGAAAACTAGACAGAATGATACTCAGAAACTACTTTGTGATGTGTGGGTTCAACTCACTGAGTTTAACCTTTCTTTTGATAGACCAGTTATGAAACACTCTTTTTGTAGAATCTGCAAGTAAATATTTGGACTTTTTTGAGGCCTTCATTGGAAACGGGATTTCTTCATAGAAACCTTGACAGAAGAATTCCCAGAAACTTCTCTGTGATGTGTGCATTTAACTCTCAGAGTTCAACCTTCCTTTTGATTGAAGAGGTTTGGAATATTCTTTTTGTAGAATTTCCACGTGAATATTTAGAGCGGTTTCAGGCCTATGTAGAAGATAAAATATCTTCACAGAAAAACTAGACATAACTGTTCTCTGAAGCTGCTCTGTGATGTGCGCATTCAGCTGACAGATTTTAACCTTTCTTTGGATAGAGCGGTTTTCAACAATATTTTGTGGAATTTGCAATTCTATATATAGAGGGCTTTCAGGCATGTGGTACAAAAGGGAATGTCTTCACATAAAATCTAGACAGAAGCATTGTCGGGAACTATTTTGGCATACCTTCCTTCAACTCTCAGAGTTGAATATTCCTCTTGATGGAGCAGTTTTGAAAAACTCTTTTTGTTGAATCTCCAAGTGGATATTTGGACCTCTTTGTGGCCTTCGTTTGAAACGTGAGTGCTTCATACAAAAGTAGACAGAAGAATTCTCATAAACTACTTCGTGATGTGTGCTTTCCACTCGCAGAGTTGAAGCTTCCTTTCGATAGAGCAGTCTTGTAACTCTCTTTTTGTAGAATTTCCAAGTGGATATTTAGCGCCGTTTGAGGCCTATGGTGGAGAAGGCGATATCTTCATAGAAAAACTAGACAGAATGATTCTCAGAAACTACTTTGTGATGTGTGCCTTCAACTCACAGAGTTTAACCTTCCTTTTGGTAGAGCAGTTTTGAAAAACTCTTTTTGTAGAATCTGCAAGTGTATATTGGGACTTTTCTGAGGCCATCTTTGGAAACGGGATTTCTTCATATAAAACGTGAAAGAAGAATCCTCAGAAAATTATTTGTGATATGTGCATTTAACTCATGGAGTTGAGAATTCCTTTCGATAGAAGAGTTTTGAAATACTCTTTTTGTAGAATTTCCAAGTGGATTTTTACAGCGGTTTGAGGTCTATGGCAGAAAAAGAAATATCTTCACAGAAAAACTAGGCAGATTCATTCTCCGAAGCTGTTTTGTGATGCTTGCATTAAGCTGACAGAGTTTAAACTTCCTTTGATAGAGCAGTTTGGAAACACTCTTTTTGTGGAATTTGCAAGTGTATATTTAGAGCGTTTTGAGGCCTACAGTAGGAAAGGAAATATCTTCACATAAAAACTAGACAGAAGTATTGTCAGAAACTTACCTGTGATATTTGCATTCAACGCACAGAGTTGAACATTCCTCTTGATGGAGCAGTTTTGAAACACTCTTTTTGCAGAATCTGCAGGTGGATATTTGGACCTCTTTGTGGCCTTCGTTTGAAACGTGATTTCTTCATTTACAACTAGACAGAAGAATTCTCAGAAACTTCTTTGTGATGTGTACCTTCAACTCACAGAGGTGAAGCTTCCTTTCAATAGAGCACTTTTGAAGCTCAGTTTTGGTAGAATTTCCAGGTGGATATTTAGCGCCGTTTGAGGCCTATGGTAGAAAAGGCAATATCTTCGTAGGAGAACTAGACAGAATGATTCTCAGAAGCTACTTTGTGATGTGTGGGCTCAACTCACTGAGTTTAACCTTTCTTTTGATAGACCAGTTATGAAACACTCTTTCTGTGGAATCTGCAAGTAAATATTTAGACTTTTTTGAGCCCTTCATTGGAAACGGGGTTTCCTCATATAAACCTTGACAGAAGAATTCTCAGAAACTTCTCTGTGATGTGTGCATTTAACTCTCAGAGTTCAACCTTCCTTTTGATAGAAGAGTGTTGAAATATTCTTTTTGTAGAATTACCAAGTGAATATTTAGAGCGGTTTCAGGCCTATGTAGAAGAGAAACTATCTTCACAGAAAAACTAGACATAATTGTTCTCTGAAGCTGCTCTGTGATGTGCGCATTCAGCTGACAGATTTTAACCTTTCTTTGGATAGAGCGGTTTTCAACAATATTTTGTGGAATTTGCAATTCTATATTTAGAGGGCTTTCAGGCCTGTGGTACAAAAGGGAATGTCTTCACATAAAATCTAGACAGAAGCATTGTCGGGAACTACTTTGTGATACCTGCCTTCAACTCTCAGAGTTGAATATTCCTCTTGATGGAGCAGTTTTGTAAAACACTTTTGGTTGAATCTCCAAGTGGATATTTGGACCTCTTCGTGGCCTTCGTTTGAAACGTGACTGCTTCATACAAAAGTAGACAGAAGAATTCTGATAAACTTCTTCGTGATGTGTGCTTTCAAGTCGCAGCGTTGAAGCTTCCTTTCGATAGAGCAGTTTAGTAACTCTCTTTTTGTAGAATTTCCAAGTGGATATTTAGCGCCGTTTGAGGCCTATGGTGGAAAAGGCAATATCTTCATAGAAAAACTAGTCAGAATGATTCTCAGAAACTACTTTGTGATGTGTGCCTTCAACTCACAGAGTTTAACCTTTCTTTGGATAGAGCAGTTTTGAAAAACTCTTTTTGTAGAATCTGCAAGGGTATATTGGGACTTTTCTGAGGCCATCTTTGGAAACAGGATTTCTTCATATAAAACTTCAAAGAAGAATCCTCAGAAAATTATTTGTGATATGTGCATTTAACTCATGGAGTTGAAACTTCCTTTCGATAGAAGAGTTTTGAAATACTCTTTTTGTAGAATTTCCAAGTGGATTTTTACAGCGGTGTGAGGTCTATGGCAGAAAAAGAAATATCTTCACAGAAAAACTAGGCAGATTCATTCTCTGAAGCTGTTTTGTGATGCTTGCATTCAGCTGACAGAGTTTAAACTTCATTTGATAGAGCAGTTTGGAAACACTCTTTTTGTGGAATTTGCAAGTGTATATTTAGAGCGTTTTGAGGCCTACAGTAGGAAAGGAAATATCTTCACCTAAAAACTAGACAGACAAGTATTGTCAGAAACTTATTTGTGATATTTGCATTCAACGCACGGAGTTGAACATTCCTCTTGATGGAGCCGTTTTGAAGCACTCTTTTTGTGGAATCTGCAAGTGGATATTTGGACCTCTTTGTGGCCTTCGTGGGAAACGTGATTTCTTCATTTACAACTAGACAGAAGAATTCTCAGAAACTTCTTTGTGATGTGTACTTTCAACTCACAGAGTTGAAGCTTCCTTTCAATAGAGCACTTTTGAAACTCAGTTTCTGTAGAATTTCCAGGTGGATATTTAGCGCCGTTTGAGGCCTATGGTGGAAAAGGCAATATCTTCGTAGAAAAACTAGACAGAATGATTCTCAGACACTACTTTGTGATGTGTGGGTTCAACTCACTGAGTTTAACCTTTCTTTTGATAGACCAGTTATGAAACACTCTTTTTGTAGAATCTGCAAGTAAATATTTGGACTTTCTTGAGGCCTTCATTGGAAACGGGATTTCTTCATATAAGCCTTACCAGAAGAATTCTCAGAAACTTCTCTGTGATGTGTGCGTTTAACTCTCAGAGTTCAACATTCCTTTTGATAGAAGAGTGTTGAAATATTCTTTTTGTAGAATTTCCAAGTGAATATTTAGAGCGGTTTCAGGCCTATGTAGAAGAGAAACTATCTTCACAGAAAAACTTGACATAATTGTTCTCTGAAGCTTCTTTGTGATGTGCGCATTCAGCTTACAGAGTTTAACCTTTCTTTGGATCGAGCGGTTTTAAACACTCTTTTTGTGGAATTTGCAATTCTATATTTAGAGTGCTTTCAGGCCTGTGGTACAAAAGGGAATGTCTTCACATAAAATCTAGACAGACGCATTGTCGGAAACTGTATTGTGATACCTGCCTTCAACTCTCAGAGTTGAATATTCCTCTTGATGGAGCAGTTTTGAAAAACTCTTTTTGTTGAATCTCCAAGTGGATATTTGGACCTCTTTGTGGCCTTCGTTTGAAACGTGACTTCTTCATACAAAACTAGACAGAAGAATTCCCATAAACTTCTTTGTGATGTGTGCTTTCAACTCGCAGAGTTGAAGCTTCCTTTCGATAGAGCAGCCTTGTAACTCTCTTATTGAAGAATTTCCAAGTGGATATTTAGCGCCGTTTGAGGCCTATGGTGGAAAAGGCAATATCTTCATAGAAAAACTAGACAGAATGATTCTCAGAAACTACTCTGTGATGTGTGCCTTAAACTCACAGAGTTTAACCTTCCTTTTGATAGAGCAGTTTTGAAAAACTCTTTTTGTAGAATCTGCAAGTGTATATTGGGACTTTTCTGAGGCCATCTTTGGAAACGGGATTTCTTCATATAAAACTTGAAAGAAGAATCCTCAGAAAATTATTTGTGATATGTGCATTTAACTCATGGATTTGAAACTTCCTTTCGATAGAAGAGCTTTGAAATACTCTTTTTGTAGAATTTCCAAGTGGATTTTTACAGCGGTTTGAGGTCTATGGCAGGAAAAGAAATATCTTCACAGAAAAACTAGGCAGATTCATTCTCCGAAGCTGTTTTGTGATGCTTGCATTAAGCGGACAGAGTTTAAACCTCCTTTGATAGAGCAGTTTGGAAACACTCTTTTTGTGGAATTTGCAAGTGTATATTTAGAGCGTTTTGAGGCCTACAGTAGGAAAGGAAATATCTTCACATAAAAACTATACAGAAGTATTGTCAGAAACTTATTTGTGATATTTGCGTTCAACGCACGGAGTTGAACATTCCTCTTGATGGAGCCGTTTTGAAGCACTCTTTTTGTGGAATCTGCAAGTGGATATTTGGACCTCTTTGTGGCCTTCGTGTGAAACGTGATTTCTTCATTTACAACTAGACAGAAGAATTCTCAGAAACTTCTTTGTGATGTGTACCTTCAACCCACAGAGGTGAAGCTTCCTTTCAATAGAGCACTTTTGAAACTCAGTTTTGGTAGAATTTCCAGGTGGATATTTAGCGCCGTTTGAGGCCTATTGTAGAAAAGGCAATATCTTCGTAGGAGAACTAGACAGAATGATTCTCAGAAGCTACTTTGTGATGTGTGGGTTCATCTCACTGAGTTTCACCTTTCTTTTGATAGGCCAGTTATGAAACACTCTTTTTGTGGAATCTGCAAGTAAATATTTGGACTTTTTTGAGGCCTTCATTGGAAACGGGGTTTCCTCGTATAAACCTTGACAGAAGAATTCTCAGAAACTTCTCTGTGATGTGTGCGTTTAACTCTCAGAGTTCAACCTTCCTTTTGATAGAAGAGTGTTGAAATATTCTTTTTGTAGAATTTCCAAGGGAATATTTAGAGCGGTCTCAGGCCTATGTAGAAGAGAATCTATCTTCACAGAAAAACTAGACAAAATTGTTCTCTGAAGCTACTCTGTGATGTGCGCATTCAGCTGACAGAGTTTAACCTTTCTTAGGATAGAGCGGTTTTAAACCCTCTTTTTGTGGAATTTGCAATTCTGTATTTAGAGTGCTTTCAGGCCTGTGGTACAAAAGGGAATGTCTTCACATAAAATCTAGACAGAAGCATTGCCGGGAACTACTTTGTGATACCTGCCTTCAACTCTCAGAGTTGAATATTCCTCTTGACGGAGCAGTTTTGAAAAACTCTTTTTGTTGAATCTCCAAATGGATATTTGGACCTCTTTGTGGCCTTCGTTTGAAACGTGACTGCTTCATACAAAAGTAGACAGAAGAATTCTCATAAACTTCTTCGTGATGTGTGCTTTCAACTCGCAGCGTTGAAGCTTCCTTTCGATAGAGCAGTTTTGTAACTCTCTTTTCGTAGAATTTCCAAGTGGATATTTAGCGCCGTTTGAGGCCTATGGTGGAAAAGGCAATATCTACATAGAAAAATTAGACAGAATGATTCTCAGAAACTACTTTGTGATGTGTGCCTTCAACTCACAGAGTTTAACCTTCCTTTTGGTAGAGCAGTTTTGAAAAACTCTTTTTTTAGAATCTGCAAGTGTATATTGGGACTTTTCTGAGGCCATCTTTGGAAACGGGATTTCTTCATATAAAACTTGAAAGAAGAATCCTGAGAAAATTATTTGTGATATCTGCATTTAACTCATGGAGTTGAGACTTCCTTTCGATAGAAGAGTTTTGAAATACTGTTTTTGTAGAATTTCCAAGTGGATTTTTACAGCGGTTTGAGGTCTATGGCAGAAAAAGAAATATCTTCACAGAAAAACTAGGCAGATTCATTCTCTGAAGCTGTTTTGTGATGCTTGCATTAACCTGACAGAGTTTAAACTTCCTTTGATAGAGCAGTTTGGAAACACTCTTTTTGTGGAATTTGCAAGTGTATATTTAGAGCCTTTTGAGGCCTACAGTAGGAAAGTAAATATCTTCACATAAAAACTAGACAGAAGTATTGTCAGAAACTTACTTATGATATTTGCATTCAACGCACAGAGTTGAACATTCCTCTTGATGGAGCAGTTTTGAAACCCTCTTTTTGCAGAATCTGCAGGTGGATATTTGGACCTCTTTGTGGCCTTCGTTTGAAACGTGATTTCTTCATTTACAACTAGACAGAAGAATTCTCAGAAACTTCTTTGTGATGTGTACCTTCAACTCACAGAGTTGAAGCTTCCTTTCAATAGAGCACTTTTGAAACTCAGTTTTTGTAGAATTTCCAGGTGGATATTTAGCGCCGTTTGAGGCCTATGGTAGAAAAGGCAATATCTTCGTAGGAAAACTAGACAGAATGATTCTCAGAAACTACTTTGTGATGTGTGGGTTCAACTCACTGAGTTTAACCTTTGTTTTGATAGACCAGTTACGAAACACTGTTTTTGTAGAATCTGCAAGTAAATATTTGGACTTTTTTGAGGCCTTCATTGGAAACGGGATTTCTTCATAGAAACCTTGACAGAAGAATTCTCAGAAACTTCTCTGTGATGTGTGCGTTTACCTCTCAGAGTTCAACCATCCTTTTGATAGAAGAGTGTTTAAATATTCTTTTTGCAGAATTTCCAAGTGAATATTTAGAGCGGTCTCAGGCCTATGTAGAAGAGAAACTATCTTCACGGAAAAACTAGACATAATTGTTCTCTGAAGCTACTCTGTGATGTGCGCATTCAGCTGACAGAGTTTAACCTTTCTTTGGATAGAGCGGTTTTAAACACTCTTTTTGTGGAATTTGCAATTCTATATTTAGAGTGCTTTCAGGCCTGTGGTACAAAAGGGAATGTCTTCACATAAAATCTAGACAGAAGCATTGTCGGGAACTACATTGGGATACATGCCTTCAACTCTCAGAGTTGAATATTCCTCTTGATGGAGCAGTTTTGAAAAACTCTTTTTGTTGAATCTCCAAGTGGATATTTGGACCTCTTTGTGGCCTTCGTTTGAAACGTGACTTCTTCATACAAAAGTAGACAGAAGAATTCTCATAAACTTCTTCGTGATGTGTGCTTTCAACTCGCAGCGTTGAAGCTTCCTTTCGATAGAGCAGTTTAGTAACTCTCTTTTTGTAGAATTTCCAAGTGGATATTTAGCGCCGTTTGAGGCCTATGGTGGAAAAGGCAATATCTTCATAGAAAAACTAGACAGAATGATTCTCAGAAACTACTCTGTGATGTGTGCCTTCAACTCACAGAGTTTAACCTTCCTTTTGATAGAGCAGTTTTGAAAAACTCTTTTTGTAGAATCTGCAAGTGTATATTGGGACTTTTCTGAGGCCAACTTTCGAAACGGGATTTCTTCATATAAAACTTGAAAGAAGAATCCTCAGAGAATTATTTGTGATATGTGCATTTAACTCATGGAGTTGAAACTTCCTTTCGATAGAAGAGCTTTGAAATACTCTTTTTGTAGAATTTCCAAGTGGATTTTTACAGCGGTTTGAGGTCTATGGCAGAAAAAGAAATATCTTCACAGAAAAACTAGGCAGATTCATTCTCCGAAGCTGTTTTGTGATGCTTGCATTAAGCTGACAGAGTTTAAACTTCCTTTGATAGAGCAGTTTGGAAACACTCTTTTTGTGGAATTTGCAAGTGTATATTTAGAGCGTTTTGAGGCCTACAGTAGGAAAGGAAATATCTTCACATAAAAACTAGACAGAAGTATTGTCAGAAACTTATTTGTGATATTTGCATTCAACGCACAGAGTTGAACGTTCCTCTTGATGGAGCCGTTTTGAAACACTCTTTTTGTAGAATCTGCAAGTGGATATTTGGACCTCTTTGTGGCCTTCGTGTGAAACGTGATTTCTTCATTGACAACTAGACAGAAGAATTCTCAGAAACTTCTTTGTGATGTGTACCTTCAACTCACAGAGTTGAAGCT
Organism: Homo sapiens; assembly: GCF_000001405.40. Classification (NCBI taxonomy): domain Eukaryota; kingdom Metazoa; phylum Chordata; class Mammalia; order Primates; family Hominidae; genus Homo; species Homo sapiens. The sequence goes on from NC_000003.12 coordinate 91,161,772, forward strand.
TCCTTTCAATAGAGCACTTTTGAAACTCAGTTTTTGTAGAATTTCCAGGTGGATATTTAGCGCCGTTTGAGGCCTATGGTAGAAAAGGCAATATCTTCGTAGGAAAACTAGACACAATGATTCTCAGAAGCTAATTTGTGATGTGTGGGTTCAACTCACTGAGTTTCACCTTTCTTTTGATAGACCAGTTATGAAACACTCTTTTTGTGGAATCTGCAAGTAAATATTTGGACTTTTTTGAGGCCTTCATTGGAAACGGGGTTTCCTCATATAAACCTTGACAGAAGAATTCTCAGAAACTTCTTTGTGATGTGTGCATTTAACTCTCAGAGTTCAACCTTCCTTTTGATAGAAGAGTGTTGAAATATTCTTTTTGTAGTATTTCCAAGTGAATATTTAGAGCGGTTTCAGGCCTATGTAGAAGAGGAAATATCTTCACAGAAAAACTAGACATAATTGTTCTCTGAAGCTACTTTGTGATGTGCGCATTCAGCTTACAGAGTTTAACCTTTCTTTGGATCGAGCGGTTTTAAACACTCTTTTTGTGGAACTTGCAATTCTATATTTAGAGTGCTTTCAGGCCTGTGGTACAAAAGGGAATGTCCTCACATAAAATCTAGACAGAAGCATTGTCGGAAACTACTTTGTGATACCTGCCTTCAACTCTCAGAGTTGAATGTTCCTCTTGATGGAGCAGTTTTGAAAAACTCTCTTTGTTGAATCTCCAAGTGGATATTTGGACCTCTTTGTGGCCTTCGTTTGAGACGTGACTGCTTCATACAAAACTAGACAGAAGAATTCTCATCAACTTCTTCGTGATGTGTGCTTTCAACTCGCAGCGTTGAAGCTTCCTTTCGATAGAGCAGTTCTGTAACTCTCTTTTTGTAGAATTTCCAAGTGGATATTTAGCGCCGTTTGAGGCCAATGGTGGAAAAGGCAATATCTTCATAGAAAAACTAGACAGAATGATTCTCAGAAACTACTCTGTGATGTGTGCCTTCAACTCACAGAGTTTAACCTTCCTTTTGATAGAGCAGTTTTGAAAAACTCTTTTTGTAGAATCTGCAAGTGTATATTGGGAGTTTTCTGAGGCCATCTTTGGAAACGGGATTTCTTCATATAAATCTTGAAAGAAGAATCCTCAGAAAATTATTTGTGATATGTGCATTTAACTCATGGAGTTGAAACTTCCTTTCGATAGAAGAGTTTTGACATCCTCTTTTTGTAGAATTTCCAAGTGGATTTTTACAGCGGTTTGAGGTCTATGGCAGAAAAAGAAATATCTTCACAGAAAAACTAGGCAGATTCATTCTCCGAAGCTGTTTTGTGATGCTTGCATTAAGCTGACAGAGTTTAAACTTCCTTTGATAGAGCAGTTTGGAAACACTCTTTTTGTGGAATTTGCAAGTGTATATTTAGAGCGTTTTGAGGCCTACAGTAGGAAAGGAAATATCTTCACCTAAAAACTAGACAGAAGTATTGTCAGAAACTTATTTGTGATATTTGCATTCAACGCACAGAGTTGAACATTCCTCTTGATGGAGCAGATTTGAAACCCTCTTTTTGCAGAATCTGCAGCTGGATATTTGGACCTACTTTGTGGCCTTCGTTTGAAACGTGATTTCTGCATTTACAACTAGACAGAAGAATTCTCAGAAACTTCTTTGTGATGTGTACCTTCAACTCACAGAGGTGAAGCTTCCTTTCAATAGAGCACTTTTGAGGCTCAGTTTTGGTAGAATTTCCAGGTGGATATTTAGCGCCGTTTGAGGCGTATGGTAGAAAAGGCAATATCTTCGTATGAGAACTAGACACAATGATTCTCAGAAGCTACTTTGTGATGTGTGGGTTCAACTCACTGAGTTTAACCTTTCTTTTGATAGACCAGTTATGAAACACTCTTTCTGTGGAATCTGCAAGTAAATATTTGGACTTTTTTGAGGCCTTCATTGGAAACGGGGTTTCTTCATATAAACCTTGACAGAAGAATTCTCAGAAACTTCTCTGTGATGTGTGTGTTTAACTCTCAGAGATCAACCTTCCTTTTGATAGAAGAGTGTTGAAATATTCTTTTTGTAGTATTTCCAAGTGAATATCTAGAGGGGTTTTAAGCCTATGTAGAAGAGAAACTATCTTCACAGAAAAACTAGACATAATTGTTCTCTGAAGCTACTCTGTGATGTGCGCATTCAGCTGACAGAGTTTAACCTTTCTTTGGATAGAGCGGTTTTAAACCCTCTTTTTGTGGAATTTGCTATTCTATATTTAGAGTGCTTTCAGGCCTCTGGTACAAAAGGGAATGTCTTCACATAAAATCTAGACAGAAGCATTGTCGGAAACTACTTTGTGATACCTGCCTTCATCTCTCCGAGTTGAATATTCCTCGTGATGGAGCAGTTTTGAAAAACTCTTTTGGTTGAATCTCCAAGTGGATATTTGGGCCTCTTTGTGGTCTTCGTTTGAAAAGTGACTTCTTCAAACAAAACTAGACAGAAGAATTCCCATAAACTTCTTTGTGATGTGTGCTTTCAACTCGCAGAGTTGAAGATTCCTTTCGATAGAGCAGTCTTGTAACTCTCTTTTTGAAGAATTTCCAAGTGGATATTTAGCGCCGTTTGAGGCCTATGGTGGAAAAGGCAATATCTTCATAGAAAAACTAGACAGAATGATTCTCAGAAACTACTTTGCGATGTGTGCCTTCAACTCACAGAGTTTAACCTTTCTTTTGATAGAGCAGTTTTGAAAAACTCTTTTTGTAGAATCTGCAAGTGTATATTGGGACTTTTCTGAGGCCATCTTTGGAAACGGGATTTCTTCATATAAAACTTGAAAGAAGAATCCTCAGAAAATTATTTGTGATATGTGCATTTAACTCATGGAGTTGAGACTTCCTTTCGATAGAAGAGTTTTGAAATACTCTTTTTGTAGAATTTCCAAGTGGATTTTTACAGCGGTTTGAGGTCTATGGCAGAAAAAGAAATATCTTCACAGAAAAACTAGGCAGATTCATTCTCCGAAGCTGTTTTGTGATGCTTGCATTAAGCTGACAGAGTTTAAACTTCCTTTGATAGAGCAGTTTGGAAACACTCTTTCTGTGGAATTTGCAAGTGTATATTTAGAGCGTTTTGAGGCCTACAGTAGGAAAGGCAATATCTTCACATAAAAACTACACAGAAGTATTGTCAGAAACTTATTTGTGATATTTGCATTCAACGCACGGAGTTGAACATTCCTCTTGATATAGCTGTTTTGAAGCACTCTTTTTGTGGAATCTGCAAGTGGATATTTGGACCTCTTTGTGGCCTTCGTGGGAAACGTGATTTCTTCATTTACAACTAGACAGAAGAATTCTCAGAAACTTCTTTGTGATGTGTACCTTCAACTCACAGAGTTGAAGCTTCCTTTCAATAGAGCACTTTTGAAACTCAGTTTTTGTAGAATTTCCAGGTGGATATTTAGCGCCGTTTGAGGCCTATGGTAGAAAAGGCAATATCTTCGTAGGAAAACTAGACAGAATGATTCTCAGAAGCTACCTTGTGATGTGTGGGTTCAACTCACTGAGTTTAACCTTTCTTTTGATAGACCCGTTATGAAACACTGTTTTTGTAGAATCTGCAAGTAAATATTTGGACTTTTTTGAGGCCTTCATTGGAAACGGGGTTTCTTCATATAAACCTTGACAGAAGAATTCCCAGAAACTTCTCTGTGATGTGTGCATTTAACTCTCAGAGTTCAACCTTCCTTTTGATAGAAGAGGGTTGAAATATTCTTTTTGTAGAATTTCCAAGTGAATATTTAGAGCGGTTTCAGGCCTATGTAGAAGAGAAAATATCTTCACTGAAAAACTAGACATAACTGTTCTCTGAAGCTGCTCTGTGATGTGCGCATTCAGCTGACAGAGTTTAACCTTTCTTTGGATAGAGCGGTTTTCAACACTCTTTTTGTGGAATTTGCAATTCTATATTTAGAGTGCTTTCAGGCCTGTGGTACAAAAGGGAATGTCTTCGCATAAAATCTAGACAGAAGCATTGTCGGGAACTACTTTGTGATACCAGCCTTCAACTCGCAGAGTTGAATATTCCTCTTGACGGAGCAGTTTTGAAAAACTCTTTTTGTTGAATCTCCAAGTGGATATTTGGACCTCTTTGTGGCCTTCCTTTGAAACGTGACTGCTTCATACAAAAGTAGACAGAAGAATTCTCATAAACTTCTTCGTGATGTGTGCTTTCAACTCGCAGCGTTGAAGCTTCCTTTCGAAAGAGCAGTTTAGTAACTCTCTTTTTGTAGAATTTCCAAGTGGATATTTAGCGGCGTTTGAGGCCTATGGTGGAAAAGGCAATATCTTCATAGAAAAACTAGACAGAATGATTCTCAGAAACTACTCTGTGATGTGTGCCTTCAACTCACAGAGTTTAACCTTCCTTTTGATAGAGCAGTTTTGAAAAATTCTTTTTGTAGAATCTGCAAGTGTATATTTGGACTTTTCTGAGGCCATCTTTGTAAACGGGATTTCTTCATATAAAACTTGAAAGAAGAATCCTCAGAAAATTATTTGTGATATGTGCATTTAACTCATGGATTTGAAACTTCCTTTCGATAGAAGATCTTTGAAATACTCTTTTTGTAGAATTTCCAAGTGGATTTTTACAGCGGTTTGAGGTCTATGGCAGGAAAAGAAATATCTTCACAGAAAAACTAGGCAGATTCATTCTCCGAAGCTGTTTTGTGATGCTTGCATTCAGCTGACAGAGTTTAAACTTCCTTTGAGAGAGCAGTTTGGAAACACTCTTTTTGTGGAATTTGCAAGTGTATATTTAGAGCGTTTTGAGGCCTACAGTAGGAAAGGAAATATCTTCACCTAAAAACTAGACAGAAGTATTGTCGGAAACTTACTTGTGATATTTGCATTCAACGCACAGAGTTGAACATTGCTCTTGATGGAGCAGTTTTGAAACACTCTTTTTGCAGAATCTGCAGGTGGATATTTGGACCTCTTTGTGGCCTTCCTTTGAAACGTGATTTCTTCATTTACAACTAGACAGAAGAATTCTCAGAAAGTTCTTTGTGATGTATACCTTCAACTCACAGAGGTGAAGCTTCCTTTCAATAGAGCACTTTTGAAGCTCAGTTTTGGTAGAATTTCCAGGTGGATATTTAGCGCCGTTTGAGGCCTACGGTAGAAAAGGCAATATCTTCGTAGGAGAACTAGACAGAATGATTCTCAGAAGCTACCTTGTGATGTGTGGGTTCAACTCACTGAGTTTAACCTTTCTTTTGATAGACCAGTTATGAAACACTGTTTTTGTAGAATCTGCAAGTAAATATTTGGACTTTCTTGAGGCCTTCATTGGAAACGGGGTTTCTTCATATAAACCTTGACAGAAGAATTCTCAGAAACTTCTCTGTGATGTGTGCGTTTAACTCTCAGAGTTCAACCTTCCTTTTGATAGAAGAGTGTTGAAATAGTCTTTTTGTGGAATTTCCAAGTGAATATTTAGAGCGGTTTCAGGCCTATGTAGAAGAGAAAATATCTTCACAGAGAAACTAGACATAATTGTTCTCTGAAGCTACTCTGTGATGTGCGCATTCAGCTGACAGAGTTTAACCTTTCGTTGGATACAGCGGTTTTAAACCCTCTTTTTGTGGAATTTGCTATTCTATCTTTAGAGTGCTCTCAGGCCTGTGGTAGAAAAGGGAATGTCTTCACATAAAATCTAGACAGAAGCATTGTCGGAAACTACTTTGTGATACCTGCCTTCAACTCTCAGAGTTGAATGTTCCTCTTGATGGAGCAGTTTTGAAAAACTCTTTTTGTTGAATCTCCAAGTGGATATTTGGACCTCTTTGTGGCCTTCGTTTGAGACGTGACTTCTTCATACAAAAGTAGACAGAAGAATTCTCATAAACTTCTTCGTGATGTGGGCTTTCAACTCGCAGAGTTGAAGCTTCCTTTCGATAGAGCAGTCTTGTAACTCTCTTTTTGTAGAATTTCCAAGTGGATATTTAGCGCCGCTTGAGGCCTATGGTGGAGAAGGCGATATCTTCATAGAAAAACTAGACAGAATAATTCTCAGAAACTACTGTGTGATGTGTGCCTTCAACTCACAGAGTTTAACCTTTCTTTTGATAGAGCAGTTTTGAAAAACTCTTTTTGTAGAATCTGCAAGTGTATATTGGGACTTTTCTGAGGCCATCTTTGGAAACGGGATTTCTTCATATAAAACTTGAAAGAAGAATCCTCAGAAAATTATTTGTGATATGTGCATTTAACTCATGGAGTTGAAACTTCCTTTCGACACAAGAGTTTTGAAATACTCTTTTTGTAGAATTTCCAAGTGGATTTTCCAGCGGTTTGAGGTCTATGGCAGAAAAAGAAATATCTTCACAGAAAAACTAGGCAGAATTCATTCTCCGAGCTGTTTTGTGATGCTTGCATTCAGCTGACAGAGTTTAAACTTCCTTTGATAGAGCAGTTTTGAAACACTCTTTTTGTGGAATTTGCAAGTGTATATTTAGAGCGTTTTGAGGCCTACAGTAGGAAAGGAAATATCTTCACCTAAAAACTAGACAGAAGTATTGTCAGAAACTTATTTGTGATATTTGCATTCAACGCACGGAGTTGAACATTCCTCTTGATGGAGCCGTTTTGAAGCACTCTTTTTGTGGAATCTGCAAGTGGGTATTTGGACCTCTTTGTGGCCTTCGTGGGAAACGTGATTTCTTCATTTACAACTAGACAGAAGAATTCTCAGAAACTTCTTTGTGATGTGTACTTTCAACTCACAGAGTTGAAGCTTCCTTTCAATAGAGCACTTTTGAAACTCAGTTTCTGTAGAATTTCCAGGTGGATATTTAGCGCCGTTTGAGGCCTATGGTAGAAAAGGCAATATCTTCATAGAAAAACTAGACAGAATGATTCTCAGAAACAACTTTGTGATGTGTGCGTTCAACTCACTGAGTTTAACCTTTCTTTTGATAGACCAGTTATGAAACACTCTTTTTGTAGAATCTGCAAGTAAATATTGGACTTTTTTGAGGCCTTCCTTGGAAACGGGATTTCTTCATATAAACCTTGACAGAAGAATTCTCAGAAACTTCTTTGTGATGTGTGCATTTAACTCTCAGAGTTCAACCTTCCTTTTGATAGAAGAGTGTTGAAATATTCTTTTTGTATAATTTCCAAGTGAATATTTAGAGCGGTTTCAGGCCTATGTAGAAGAGGAAATATCTTCACAGAAAAACTAGACATAATTGTTCTCTGAAGCTACTTTGTGATGTGCGCATTCAGCTTACAGAGTTTAACCTTTCTTTGGATCGAGCGGTTTTAAACACTCTTGTTGTGGAATTTGCAATTCTATATTTAGAGTGCTTTCAGGCCTGTGGTACAAAAGGGAATGTCCTCACATAAAATCTAGACAGAAGCATTGTCGGGAACTACTTTGTGATACCTGCCTTCAACTCTCAGAGTTGAATATTCCTCTTGATGGAGCAGTTTTGTAAAACTCTTTTTGTTGAATCTCCAAGTCGATATTTGGACCTCTTTGTGGCCTTCGTTTGAAACGTGACTGCTTCATACAAAAGTAGACAGAAGAATTCCCATAAACTTCTTTGTGATGTGTGCTTTCAACTCGCAGAGTTGAAGCTTCCTTTCGATAGAGCAGTCTTGTAACTCTCTTTTTGAAGAATTTCCAAGTGGATATTTAGTGCCGTTTGGGGCCTATGGTGGAAAAGGCAAAATCTTCATAGAAAAACTAGACAGAATGATTCTCAGAAACTGCTTTGTCATGTGTGCCTTCAACTCACAGAGTTTAACCTTTCTTTTGGTAGAGCAGTTTTGAAAAGCTCTTTTTGTAGAATCTGCAAGTGTATATTGGGGCTTATCTGAGGCCATCTTTGGAAACGGGATTTCTTCATATAAAACTTCAAAGAAGAATCCTCAGAAAATTATTTGTGATATGTGCATTTAACTCATGGAGTTGAAACTTCCTTTCGATAGAAGAGTTTTGAAATACTCTTTTTGTAGAATTTCCAAGTGGATTTTTACAGCGGTTTGAGGTCTATGGCAGCAAAAGAAATATCTTCACAGAAAAACTAGGCAGATTCATTCTCCGAAGCTGTTTTGTGATGCTTGCATTCAGCTTACAGAGTTTAAACTTACTTTGATAGAGCAGTTTTGACACCCTCTTTTTGTGGAATTTGCAAGTGTCTCTTTAGAGCGTTTTGAGACCTACAGTAGGAAAGGAAATATCTTCACATAAAAACTAGACGGAAGTATTGTCAGAAACTTATTTGTTATATTTGCATTCAACGCACAGAGTTGAACATTCCTCTTGATGGAGCCGTTTTGAGACACTCTTTTTGTAGAATCTGTAAGTGGATAGTTGGACCTCTTTGTGGCCTTCGTGTGAAACGTGATTTCTTCATTTACAACTAGACAGAAGAATTCTCAGAAACTTTTTTGTGATGTGTACCTTCAACTCACAGAGGTGAAGCTTCCTTTCAATAGAGCACTTTTGAAACTCTGTTTCGGTAGAATTTCCAGGTGGATATTTAGCGCCGTTTGAGGCCTATGCTAGAAAAGGCAATACTCTTCGTAGGAGAACTAGACAGAATGATTCTCAGAAGCTACTTTGTGATGTGTGGGTTCAACTCACTGAGTTTAACCTTTCTTTTGATAGACCAGTTATGAAACACTCTTTCTGTGGAATCGGCAAGTAAATATTTGGACTTTTTTGAGGCCTTCTTTGGAAACGGGGTTTCTTCATATAAACCCTGACAGAAGAATTCTCAGAAACCTCTCTGTGATGTGTGCGTTTAACTCTCAGAGTTCAACCTTCCTTTTGATAGAAGAGTGTTGAAATATTCTTTTTGTAGAATTTCCAAGTGAATATTTAGAGCGGTTTCAGGCCTATGTAGAAGAGAAACTATCTTCACAGAAAAACTAGACATAATTGTTCTCTGAAGCTACTCTGTGATGTGCGCATTCAGCTGACAGAGTTTAACCTTTCTTTGGATAGAGCGGTTTTCAACACTCTTTTTGTGGAATTTGCAATTCTATACTTAGAGTGCTTTCAGGTCTGTGGTACAAAAGGGAATGTCTTCACATAAAATTTAGACAGAAGCATTGTCGGGAACTACTTTGTGATACCTGCCTTCAACTCTCAGAGTTGAATATTCCTCTTGATGGAGCAGTTTTGTAAAACTCTTTTTGTTGAATCTCCAAGTGGATATTTGGACCTCTTTGTGGCCTTCGTCTGAAACGTGACTGCTTCATACAAAAGTAGACAGAAGAATTCTCATAAACTTCTTCGTGATGTGTGCTTTCAACTCGCAGCGTTGAAGCTTCCTTTCGATAGAGCAGTTCTGTAACTCTCTTTTTGTAGAATTTCCAAGTGGATATTTAGCCGCCGTTTGAGGCCTATGGTGGAAAAGGCAATATCTTCATAGAAAAACTAGACAGAATGATTCTCAGAAACTACTTTGTGATGTGTGCCTTCAACTCACAGACTTTAACCTTTCTTTGGATAGAGCAGTTTTGAAAAACTCTTTTTGTAGAATCTGCAAGGGTATATTGGGACTTTTCTGAGGCCATCTTTGGAAACGGGATTTCTTCATGTAAAACTTCAAAGAAGAATCCTCAGAAAATTATTTGTGATATGTGCATTTAACTCATGGAGTTGAAACTTCCTTTCGATAGAAGAGTTTTGAAATACTCTTTTTGTTGAATTTCCAAGTGGATTTTTACAGCGGTTTGAGGTCTATGGCAGCAAAAGAAATATCTTCACAGAAAAACTAGGCAGATTCATTCTCCGAAGCTGTTTTCTGATGCTTGCATTCAGCTGACAGAGTTTAAACTTCCTTTGATAGAGCAGTTTGGAAACACTCTTTTTGTGGAATTTGCAAGTGTATATTTAGAGCGCTTTGAGGCCTACAGTAGGAAAGGAAATATCTTCACCTAAAAACTAGACAGAAGTATTGTCAGAAACTTATTTGTGATATTTGCATTCACCGCACAGAGTTGAACATTCCTCTTGATGGAGCCGTTTTGAGACACTCTTTTTGTAGAGTCTGCAAGTGGATATTTGGACCTCTTTGTGGCCTTCGTGTGAAACGTGATTTCTTCATTGACAACTAGACAGAAGAATTCTCAGAAACTTCTTTGTGATGTGTACCTTCAACTCACAGAGGTGAAGCTTCCCTTCAATAGAGCACTTTTGAAACTCAGTTTTGGTAGAATTTCCAGGTGGATATTTAGCGCCGTTTGAGGCCTATGGTAGAAAAGGCAATATCTTCGTAGGAGAACTAGACAGAATGATTCTCAGAAGCTACTTTGTGATGTGTGGGTTCAACTCACTGAGTTTAACCTTTCTTTTGATAGACCAGTTATGAAACACTCTTTCTGTGGAATCGGCAAGTAAATATTTGGAGTTTTTTGAGGCCTTCTTTGGAAACGGGGTTTCTTCATATAAACCCTGACAGAAGAATTCTCAGAAACTTCACTGTGATGTGTGCCTTTAACTCTCAGAGTTCAACCTTCTTTTTGATAGAAGAGTGTTGAAATATTCCTTTTGTAAAATTTCCAAGTGAATATCTAGAGGGGTTTTAAGCCTATGTAGAAGAGAAACTATCTTCACAGAAAAACTAGACATAATTGTTCTCTGAAGCTGCTCTGTGATGTGCGCATTCAGCTGACAGAGTTTAACCTTTCTTTGGATAGAGCGGTTTTCAACACTCTTTTTGTGGAATTTGCAATTCTATATTTAGAGTGATTTCAGGCCTGTGGTACAAAAGGGAATGTCTTCACATAAAATCTAGACAGAAGCATTGTCGGAAACTACTTTGTGATACCTGCCTTCAACTCTCCGAGTTGAATATTCCTCGTGATGGAGCAGTTTTGAAAAACTCTTTTTGTTGAATCTCCAAGTGGATATTTGGGCCTCTTTGTGGTCTTCGTTTCAAACGTGACTTCTTCATACAAAACTAGACAGAAGAATTCTCATAAACTACTTTGGGATGTGTGCTTGCAACTCGCAGAGTTGAAGATTCCTTTTGATAGAGCAGCCTTGTAACTCTCTTTTTGTAGAATTTCCAAGTGGATATTTAGCGCCGTTTGAGGTCTATGGTGGAAAAGGCAATATCTTCATAGAAAAACTAGACAGAATGATTCTCAGAAACTACTCTGTGATGTGTGCCTTCAACTCACAGAGTTTAATCTTCCTTTTCATAGAGCAGTTTTGAAAAACTCTTTTTGTAGAATCTGCAAGTGTATATTGGGACTTTTCTGAGGCCATCTTTGGAAACGGGATTTCTTCATATAAAACTTGAAAGAAGAATCCTCAGAAAATTATTTGTGACATGTGCGTTTAACTCATGGAGTTGAAAATTTCTTTCGATAGAAGAGTTTTGAAATACTCTTTTTGTGGAATTTCCAAGTGGATTTTTACAGCGGTTTGAGGTCTATGGCAGAAAAGGGAATATCTTCACAGAAAAAATAGGCAGATTCATTCTCCGAAGCTGTTTTGTGATGCTTGCATTAAGCGGACAGAGTTTAAACTTCCTTTGACAGAGCAGTTTGGAAACACTCTTTTTGTGGAATTTGCAAGTGTATATTTAGAGCGTTTTGAGGCCTACAGTAGGAAAGGAAATATCTTCACATAAAAACTAGACAGAAATATTGTCAGAAACTTATTTGTGATATTTGCATTCAACGCACAGTGTTGAACATTCCTCTTGATGGAGCAGTTTTGAAGCACTCTTTTTGTAGAATCTGCAGGTGGATATATGGACCTCTTTGTGGCCTTCGTTTGAAACGTGATTTCTTCATTTACAACTAGACAGAAGAATTCTCAGAACCTTCTTTGTGATGTGTACCTTCAACTCACAGAGTTGAAGCTTCCTTTCAATAGAGCACTTTTGAAACTCAGTTTTTGTAGAATTTCCAGGTGGATATTTAGCGCCGTTTGAGGCCTATGGTAGAAAAGGCAATATCTTCGTAGGAAAACTAGACAGAATGATTCTCAGAAGCTACTTTGTGATGTGTGGGTTCAACTCACTGAGTTTCACCTTTCTTTTGATAGACCAGTTATGAAACACTCTTTTTGTGGAATCTGCAAGTAAATTTTTGGACTTTTTTGAGGCCTTCATTGGAAACGGGAGTTTCTTCATATAAACCTTGACAGAAGAATTCTCAGAAACTTCTCTGTGATGTGTGCATTTAACTCTCAGAGTTCAACCTTCCTTTTGATAGAAGAGGGTTGAAATTTTCTTTTTGTAGAATTTCCAAGTGAATATTTAGAACGGTTTCAGGCCTAAGTAGAAGAGAAAATATCTTCACAGAAAAACTAGACATAACTGTTCTCTGAAGCTGTTCTGTGATGTGCGCATTCAGCTGACAGAGTTTAACCTTTCTTTGGATAGAGCGGTTTTCAACACTCTTTTTGTGGAATTTGCAATTCTATATTTAGAGTGCTTTCAGGCCTGTGGTACAAAAGGGAATGTCTTCATATAAAATCTAGACAGAAGCATTGTCGGGAACTACTTTGGGATACCTGCCTTCAACTCTCAGAGTTGAATATTCCTCTTGACGGAGCAGTTTTGAAAAACTCTTTTTGTTGAATCTCCAAGTGGATATTTGGACCTCTTTGTGGCCTTCGTTTGAAACGTGACTGCTTCATACAAAAGTAGACAGAAGAATTCTCATAAACTACTTCGTGATGTGTGCTTTCAACTCGCAGCGTTGAAGCTTCCTTTCGATAGAGCAGTTTAGTAACTCTCTTTTTGTAGAATTTCCAAGTGGATATTTAGCGCCGTTTGAGGCCTATGGTGGAAAAGGCAATATCTTCATAGAAAAACTAGACAGAATGATTCTCAGAAACTACTTTGTGATGTGTGCCTTCAACTCACAGAGTTTAACCTTCCTTTTGGTAGAGCAGTTTTGAAAAACTCTTTTTGTAGAATCTGTAAGTGTGTATTGGGACTTTTCTGAGGCCATCTTTGGAAACGGGATTTCTTCATATAAAACTTGAAAGAAGAATCCTCAGAAAATTATTTCTGATATGTGCATTTAGCTCATGGAGCTGAAACTTCCTTTCGATAGAAGAGCTTTGAAATACTCTTTTTGTAGAATTTCCAAGTGGATTTTTACAGCGGTTTGAGGTCTATGGCAGAAAAAGAAATATCTTCACAGAAAAATTAGGCAGATTCATTCTCCGAAGCTGTTTTGTGATGCTTGCATTAAGCGGACAGAGTTAAAACTTCCTTTGATAGAGCAGTTTGGAAACACTCTTTTGTGGAATTTGCAAGTGTATATTTAGAGCGTTTTGAGGCCTACAGTAGGAAAGGAAATATCTTCACATAAAAACTACACAGAAGTATTGTCAGAAACTTATTTGTGATATTTGCATGCAACGCACAGAGTTGAACATTCCTCTTGATGCAGCAGTTTTGAAACACTCTTTTTGTGGAATCTGCAGGTGGATATTTGGACCTCTTTGTGGCCTTCGTTTGAAACGTGATTTCTTCATTTACAACTAGACAGAAGAATTCTCAGAAACTTCTTTGTGATGTGTACCTTCAACTCACAGAGGTGAAGCTTCCTTTCAATAGAGCACTTTTGAAACTCAGTTTTGGTAGAATTTCCAGGTGGATATTTTGCGCCGTTTGAGGCCTATGGTAGAAAAGGCAATATTCTTCGTAGGAGAACTAGACACAATGATTCTCAGAAGGTACTTTGTGATGTGTGGGTTCAACTCACTGAGTTTAACCTTTCTTTTGATAGACCAGTTATGAAACACTCTTTTTGTGGAATCTGCAAGTAAATTTTTGGACTTTTTTGAGGCCTTCATTGGAAACGGGGTTTCTTCATATAAACCTTGACAGAAGAATTCTCAGAAACTTCTCTGTGATGTGTGCGTTTAACTCTCAGAGTTCAACCTTCCTTTTGATAGAAGAGTGTTGAAATATACTTTTTGCAGAATTTCCAAGTGAATATTTAGAGCGGTCTCAGGCCTATGTGGAAGAGAAACTATCTTCACGGAAAAACTAGACATAATTGTTCTCTGAAGCTACTCTGTGATGTGCGCATTCAGCTGACAGAGTTTAACCTTTCTTTGGATAGAGCGGTTTTCAACACTCTTTTTGTGGAATTTGCAATTCTATATTTAGAGTGCTTTCAGGCCTGTGGTACAAAAGGGAATGTCTTCACATAAAATCTAGACAGAAGCATTGTCGGGAACTACTTTGGGATACCTGCCTTCAAGTCTCAGAGTTGAATATTCCTCTTGATGGAGCAGTTTTGAAAAACTCTTTTTGTTGAATCTCCAAGTGGATATTTGGACCTCTTTGTGGCCTTCGTTTGAAACGTGACTGCTTCATACAAAAGTAGACAGAAGAATTCTCATCAACTTCTTCGCAATGTGTGCTTTCAACTCGCAGAGTTGCATCTTCCTTTCGATAGAGCAGTTTTGTAACTCTCTTTTTGTAGAATTTCCAAGTGGATATTTAGCGCCGTTTGAGGCCTATGGTGGAAAAGGCAATATCTTCATAGAAAAACTAGACAGAATGATTCTCAGAAACTACATTGTGATGTGTGCCTTCAACTCACAGAGTTTAACCTTTCTTTGGATAGAGCAGTTTTGAAAAACTCTTTTTGTAGAATCTGCAAGGGTATATTGGGACTTTTCTGAGGCCATCTTTGGAAACGGGATTTCTTCATATAAAACTTCAAAGAAGAATCCTCAGAAAATTATTTCTGATATGTGCATTTAACTCATGGAGCTGAAACTTCCTTTCGATAGAAGAGCTTTGAAATACTCTTTTTGTAGAATTTCCAAGTGGATTTTTACAGCGGTTTGAGGTCTATGGCAGAAAAAGAAATATCTTCACAGAAAAACTAGGCAGATTCATTCTCCGAAGCTCTTTTGTGATGCTTGCATTAAGCGGACAGAGTTTAAACTTCCTTTGAGAGAGCAGTTTGGAAACACTCTTTTTGTGGAATTTGCAAGTGTATATTTAGAGCGTTTTGAGGCCGACAGTAGGAAAGGAAATATCTTCACATAAAAACTACACAGAAGTATTGTCAGAAACTTATTTGTGATATTTGCATTCAATGCACAGAGTTGAACATTCCTCTTGATGGAGCCGTTTTGAAACACTCTTTTTGTAGAATCTGCAAGTGGATATTTGGACCTCTTTGTGGCCTTCGTGTGAAACGTGATTTCTTCATTTACAACTAGACAGAAGAATTCTCAGAACCTTCGTTGTGATGTGTACCTTCAACTCACAGAGTTGAAGCTTCCTTTCAATAGAGCACTTTTGAAACTCAGTTTTTGTAGAATTTCCAGGTGGATATTTAGCGCCGTTTGAGGCCTATGGTAGAAAAGGCAATATCTTCGTAGGAAAACTAGACAGAATGATTCTCAGAAACTACTTTGTGATGTGTGGGTTCATATCACTGAGTTTAACCTTTCTTTTGATAGACCAGTTATGAAACAGTCTTTTTGTAGAATCTGCAAGTAAATATTTGAACTTTTTTGAGGCCTTCATTGGAAACGGGATTTCTTCATAGAAACCTTGACAGAAGAATTCTCAGAAGCTTCTCTGTGATGTGTGCGTTTAACTCTCAGAGTTCAACCTTCCTTTTGATAGAAGAGTGTTGAAATATTCTTTTTGTAGAATTTCCAAGTGAATATTTAGAGCGGTTTCAGGCCTATGTAGAAGAGAAACTATCTTCACAGAAAAACTAGACATAATTGTTCTCTGAAGCTGCTCTGTGATGTGCGCATTCAGCTGACAGAGTTTAACCTTTCTTTGGATAGAGCGGTTTTCAACACTCTTTTTGTGGAATTTGCAATTCTATATTTAGAGTGCTTTCAGACCTGTGGTACAAAAGGGAATGTCTTTGCATAAAATCTAGACAGAAGCATTGTCGGAAACTACTTTGTGATACCTGCCTTCAACTCTCAGAGTTGAATGTTCCTCTTGATGGAGCAGTTTTGAAAAACTCTTTTTGTTGAATCTCCAAGTGGATATTTGGACCTCTTTGTGGCCTTCGTTTGAGACGTGACTTCTTCATACAAAAGTAGACAGAAGAATTCTCATCAACTTCTTCGTGATGTGTGCTTTCAACTCGCAGCGTTGAAGCTTCCTTTCGATAGAGCAGTTCTGTAACTCTCTTTTTGTAGAATTTCCAAGTGGATATTTAGCGCCGTTTGAGGCCAATGGTGGAAAAGGCAATATCTTCATAGAAAAACTAGACAGAATGATTCTCAGAAACTACTTTGTGATGTGTGCCTTCAACTCACAGAGTTTAACCTTCCTCTTGGTAGAGCAGTTTTGAAAAACTCTTTTTGTAGAATCTGCAAGTGTATATTGGGACTTTTCTGAGGCCATCTTTGGAAACGGGATTTCTTCATATAAAACTTGAAAGAAGAATCCTCAGAAAATTATTTGTGATATGTGCATTTAACTCATGGAGTTGAGACTTCCTTTCGATAGAAGAGTTTTGAAATACTCTTTTTGTAGAATTTCCAAGTGGATTTTTACAGCGGTTTGAGGTCTATGGCAGAAAATGAAATATCTTCACAGAAAAACTAGGCAGATTCATTCTCCGAAGCTGTTTTGTGATGCTTGCATTAAGCTGACAGAGTTTAAACTTCCTTTGATAGAGCAGTTTGGAAACACTCTTTTTGTGGAATTTGCATGTGTATATTTAGAGTGTTTTGAGGCCTACAGTAGGAAAGGAAATATCTTCACATAAAAACTACACAGAAGTATTGTCAGAAACTTACTTGTGATATTTGCATTCAACGCACAGAGTTGAACATTCCTCTTGATGGAGCAGTTTTGAAACACTCTTTTTGCAGAATCTGCAGGTGGATATTTGGACCTCTTTGTGGACTTCGTTTGAAACGTGATTTCTTCATTTACAACTAGACAGAAGAATTCTCAGAAACTTCTTTGTGATGTGTACCTTCAACTCACAGAGTTGAAGCTTCCTTTCAATAGAGCACTTTTGAAACTCAGTTTTTGTAGAATTTCCAGGTGGATATTTAGCGCCGTTTGAGGCCTATGGTAGAAAAGGCAATATCTTCGTAGGAAAACTAGACAGAATGATTCTCAGAAGCTACTTTGTGATGTGTGGGTTCAACTCACTGAGTTTAAACTTTCTTTTGATAGACCAGTTTATGAAACACTCTTTTTGTAGAATCTGCAAGTAAATCTTTGGACTTTTTTGAGGCCTTCATTGGAAACGGGGTTTCTTCATATAAACCTTGACAGAAGAATTCTCAGAAACTTCTCTGTGATGTGTGCGTTTAACTCTCAGAGTTCAACCTTCCTTTTGATGGAAGAGTGTTGAAGTATTCTTTTTGTAGAATTTCCAAGTGAATATTTAGAGCGGTTTCAGGCCTATGTAGAAGAGAAAATATCTTCCCAGAAAGACTAGACATAATTGTTCTCTGAAGCTACTCTGAGATGTGCGCATTCAGCTGACAGAGTTTAACCTTTCGTTGGATAGAGCGGTTTTAAACCCTCTTTTTGTGGAATTTGCTATTCTATCTTTAGAGTGCTTTCAGGCCTGTGGTACAAAAGGGAATGTCTTCACATAAAATCTTGATAGAAGCATTGTCGGAAACTACTTTGTGATACCTGCCTTCAACTCTCAGAGTTGAATGTTCCTCTTGATGGAGCAGTTTTGAAAAACTCTTTTTGTTGAATCTCCAAGTGGATATTTGGACCTCTTTGTGGCCTTCGTTTGAGACGTGACTTCTTCATACAAAAGTAGACAGAAGAATTCTCATAAACTTCTTCGTGATGTGTGCTTTCAACTCGCAGCGTTGAAGCTTCCTTTCGATAGAGCAGTTTAGTAACTCTCTTTTTGTAGAATTTCCAAGTGGATATTTAGCGCCGTTTGAGGCCTACGGTGGAAAAGGCAATATCTTCATAGAAAAACTAGACAGAATGATTCTCAGAAACTACTTTGTGATGTGTGCCTTCAACTCACAGAGTTTAACCTTTCTTTGGATAGAGCAGTTTTGAAAAACTCTTTTTGTAGAATCTGCAAGTGTACATTGGGGCTTATCTGAGGCCATCTTTGGAAACGGGATTTCTTCATATAAAACTTCAAAGAAGAGTCCTCAGAAAATTATTTGTGATATGTGCATTTAACTCATGGAGTTGAAACTTCCTTTCGATAGAAGAGTTTTGAAATACTCTTTTTGTAGAATTCCCAAGTGGATTTTTACAGCGGTTGGAGGTCTATGGCAGCAAAAGAAATATCTTCACAGAAAAACTAGGCAGATTCATTCTCCGAAGCTGTTTTGTGATGCTTGCATTCAGCTGACAGAGTTTAAACTTCCTTTGATAGAGCAGTTTGGAAACACTCTTTTTGTGGAATTTGCAAGTGTATATTTAGAGCGTTTTGAGGCCTACAGTAGGAAAGGAAATATCTTCACCTAAAAACTAGACAGAAGTATTGTCAGAAACTTATTTGTGATATTTGCATTCAACGCACGGAGTTGAACATTCCTCTTGATGGAGCCGTTTTGAAGCACTCTTTTTGTGGAATCTGCAAGTGGATATTTGGACCTCTTAGTGGCCTTCGTGTGAAACGTGATTTCTTCATTTACATCTAGACAGAAGAATTCTCAGAAACTTCTTTGTGATGTGTACTTTCAACTCACAGAGTTGAAGCTTCCTTTCAATAGAGCACTTTTGAAACTCAGTTTCTGTAGAATTTCCAGGTGGATATTTAGCGCCGTTTGAGGCCTATGGTGGAAAAGGCAATATCTTCGTAGAAAAACTAGACAGAATGATTCTCAGAAGCTACTTTGTGATGTGTGGGTTCAACTCACTGAGTTTCACCTTTCTTTTGATAGACCAGTTATGAAACACTCTTTTTGTGGAATCTGCAAGTAAATTTTTGGGCTTTTTTGAGGCCTTCATTGGAAACGGGGTTTCTTCATATAAACCTTGACAGAAGAATTCCCAGAAACTTCTTTGTGATGTGTGCATTTAACTCTCAGAGTTCAACCTTCCTTTTGACAGAAGAGTGTTGAAATATTCTTTTTCTAGAGTTTCCAAGTGAATATTTAGAGCAGTTTCAGGCCTATGTAGAAGAGAAAATATCTTCACAGAGAAACTAGACATAATTGTTCTCTGAAGCTACTTTGTGATGTGCGCCTTCAGCGGACAGAGTTTAACCTTTCTTTGGATAGAGCGGTTTTAAGCACTCTTTTTGTGGAATTTGCAATTCTATATTTAGAGTGCTTTCAGGCCTGTGGTACAAAAGGGAATGTCTTCACATAAAATCTAGACAGAAGCGTTGTCGGAAACTTGTTTGTGATACCTGCCCTCAACACTCAGAGTTGAATATTAATCTTGACGGAGCAGTTTTGAAAAACTCTTTTTGTTGAATCTCCAAGTGGATATTTGGACCTCTTTGTGGCCTTCGTTTGAGACGTGACTTCTTCCTACAAAACTAGACAGAAGAATTCTCATCAACTTCTTCGTGATGTGTGCTTTCAACTCGCAGCGTTGAAGCTTCCTTTCGATAGAGCAGTTCTGTAACTCTCTTTTTGTAGAATTTCCAAGTGGATATTTAGCGCCGTTTGAGGCCAATGGTGGAAAAGGCAATATCTTCATAGAAAAACTAGACAGAATGATTCTCAGAAACTACTTTGTGATGTGTGCCTTCAACTCACAGAGTTTAACCTTCCTTTTGGTAGAGCAGTTTTGAAAAACTCTTTTTGTAGAATCTGCCAGTGTATATTGGGACTTTTCTGAGGCCATGTTTGGAAACGGGATTTCTTCATATAAAACTTGAAAGAAGAATCCTCAGAAAATTATTTGTGATATGTGCATTTAACTCATGGAGTTGAAACTTCCTTTCGATAGAAGAGTTTTGAAATAGTCTTTTTGTAGAATTTCCAAGTGGATTTTTACAGCGGTTTGAGGTCTATGGCAGAAAAAGAAATATCTTCACAGAAAAACTAGGCAGATTCATTCTCCGAAGCTCTTTTGTGATGCTTGCATTAAGCGGACAGAGTTTAAACTTCCTTTGAGAGAGCAGTTTGGAAACACTCTTTTTGTGGAATTTGCAAGTGTATATTTAGAGCGTTTTGAGGCCTACAGGAGGAAAGGAAATATCTTCACATAAAAACTACACAGAAGTATTGTCAGAAACTTACTTGTGATATTTGCATTCAACGCACAGAGTTGAACATTCCTCTTGATGGAGCAGTTTTGAAACACTCTTTTTGCAGAATCTGCAGGTGGATATTTGGACCTCTTTGTGGCTTTCGTTTGAAACGTGATTTCTTCATTTACAACTAGACAGAAGAATTCTCAGAAACTTCTTTGTGATGTGTACCTTCAACTCACAGAGGTGAAGCTTCCTTTCAATAGAGCACTTTTGAAGCTCAGTTTTGGTAGAATTTCCAGGTGGATATTTAGCGCCGTTTGAGGCCTATGGTAGAAAAGGCAATATCTTCGTAGGAGAACTAGACACAATGATTCTCAGAAGCTACTTTGTGATGTGTGGGTTCAACTCACTGAGTTTCACCTTTCTATTGATAGACCAGTTATGAAACACTCTTTTTGTGGAATCTGCAAGTAAATTTTTGGACTTTTTTGAGGCCTTCATTGGAAACGGGGTTTCTTCTTATAAACCTTGACAGAAGAATTCTCAGAAACTTCTCTGTGATGTGTGCGTTTACCTCTCAGAGTTCAACCTTCCTTTTGATAGAAGAGTGTTGAAATATTCTTTTTGCAGAATTTCCAAGTGAATATTTAGAGCGGTCTCAGGCCTATGTGGAAGAGAAACTATCTTCACGGAAAAACTAGACATAATTGTTCTCTGAAGCTACTTTGTGATGTGCGCATTCAGCTTACAGAGTTTAACCTTTCTTTGGATAGAGCGGTTTTAAACACTCTTTTTGTGGAATTTGCAATTCTATATTTAGAGTGCTTTCAGGCCTGTGGTACAAAAGGGAATGTCCTCACATAAAATCTAGACAGAAGCATTGTCGGAAACTACTTTGTGATACCTGCCTTCAACTCTCAGAGTTGAATGTTCCTCTTGATGGAGCAGTTTTGAAAAACTCTTTTTGTTGAATCTCCAAGTGGATATTTGGACCTCTTTGTGGCCTTCGTTTGAGACGTGACTTCTTCATACAAAAGTAGACAGAAGAATTCTCATAAACTTCTTCGTGATGTGTGCTTTCAACTCGCAGAGTTGAAGCTTCCTTTCGATAGAGCAGTCTTGTAACTCTCTTTTTGTAGAATTTCCAAGTGGATATTTAGCGCCGCTTGAGGCCTATGGTGGAGAAGGCGATATCTTCATAGAAAAACTAGACAGAATGATTCTCAGAAACTACTCTGTGATGTGTGCCTTCAACTCACAGAGTTTAATCTTCCTTTTCATAGAGCAGTTTTGAAAAACTCTTTTTGTAGAATCTGCAAGTGTATATTGGGACTTTTCTGAGGCCATCTTTGGAAACGGGATTTCTTCATATAAAACTTGAAAGAAGAATCCTCAGAAAATTATTTGTGATATGAGCATTTAACTCATGGAGTTGAGACTTCCTTTCGATAGAAGAGTTTTGACATACTCTTTTTGTAGAATTCCCAAGTGGATTTTTACAGCGGTTTGAGGTCTATGGCAGAAAAAGAAATATCTTCTCAGAAAAACTAGGCAGATTCATTCTCCGAAGCTGTTTTGTGATGCTTGCATTAAGCGGACAGAGTTTAAACTTCCTTTGATAGAGTAGTTTGGAAACACTCTTTTTGTGGAATTTGCAAGTGTATATTTAGAGCGTTTTGAGGCCTACAGTAGGAAAGGAAATATCTTCACATAAAAACTAGACAGAAGTATTGTCAGAAACTTATTTGTGATATTTGCATTCAACGCACAGAGTTGAACATTCCTCTTGATGGAGCAGTTTTGAAACCCTCTTTTTGCAGAATCTGCAGGTGGATATTTGGACCTCTTTGTGGCCATCGCTTGAAACGTGATTTCTTCATTTACAACTAGACAGAAGAATTCTCAGAAACTTCTTAGTGATGTGTACCTTCAACTCACAGAGGTGAAGCTTCCTTTCAATAGAGCACTTTTGAAACTCAGTTTTGGTAGAATTTCCAGGTGGATGTTTTGCGCCGTTTGAGGCCTATGGTAGAAAAGGCAATATCTCCGTAGGAGAACTAGACAGAATGATTCTCAGAAACAGCTTTGTGATGTGTGCGTTCAACTCACGGAGTTTAACCTTTCTTTTGATAGACCAGTTATGAAACACTCTTTTTGTAGAATCTGCAAGTAAATATGTGGACTTTTTTGAGGCCTTCATTGGAAACGGGATCTCTTCATATAAACCTTGACAGAAGAATCCCCAGAAACTTCTTTGTGATGTGTGCATTTAACTCTCAGAGTTCAACCTTCCTTTTGATAGAGGAGTGTTGAAATATTCTTTTTGTAGAATTTCCAAGTGAATATTTAGAGCGGTTTCAGGCCTATGTAGAAGAGAAAATATCTTCACAGAGAAACTAGACATAATTGTTCTCTGAAGCTACTCTGTGATGTGCGCATTCAGCTTACAGAGTTTCACCTTTCTTTGGATAGAGCCGTTTTAAACACTCTTTTTGTGGAATTTGCAATTCTATATTTAGAGTGCTTTCAGGCCTGTGGTACAAAAGGGAATGTCTTCACATAAAATACTGGACAGAAGCATTGTCGGTAACTACTTTGTGATACATGGCTTCAACTCTCAGAGTTGAATATTCCTCTTGAAGGAGCAGTTTTGAAAAACACTTTTTGTTGAATCTCCAAGTGGATATTTGGTCCTCTTTGTGGCCTTCGTTTCAAACGTGACTGCTTCATACAAAAGTAGACAGAAGAATTCTCATCAACTTCTTCGCGATGTGTGCTTTCAACTCGCAGAGTTGCAGCTTCCTTTCGATAGAGCAGTTTTCTAACTCTCTTTTTGTAGAATTTCCAAGTGGATATTTAGCGCCGTTTGAGGCCTATGGTGGAAAAGGCAATATCTTCATAGACAAACTAGACAGAATGATTCTCAGAAACTACTTTGTGATGTGTGCCTTCAACTCACAGAGTTTAACCTTTCTTTTGATAGAGCAGTTTTGAAAAACTCTTTTTGTAGAATCTGCAAGTGTATATTGGGACTTTTCTGAGGCCATCTTTGGAAACGGGATTTCTTCATATAAAACTTGAAAGAAGAATCCTCAGAAAATTATTTCTGATATGTGCATTTAGCTCATGGAGCTGAAACTTCCTTTCGATAGAAGAGCTTTGAAATACTCTTTTTGTAGAATTTCCAAGTGGATTTTTACAGCGGTTTGAGGTCTATGGCAGAAAAAGAAATATCTTCACAGAAAAACTAGGCAGATTCATTCTCCGAAGCTGTTTTGTGATGCTTGCATTAGGCGGACAGAGTTTAAACTTCCTTTGAGAGAGCAGTTTGGAAACACTCTTTTTGTGGAATTTGCAAGTGTATATTTAGAGCGTTTTGAGGCCTACAGTAGGAAAGGAAATATCTTCACATAAAAACTACACAGAAGTATTGTCAGAAACTTATTTGTGATATTTGCATTCAACGCACAGAGTTGAACATTCCTCTTGATGGAGCTGTTTTCAAACCCTCTTTTTACAGAATCTGCAGCTGGATATTTGGACCTCTTTGTGGCCTTCGTTGAAACGTGATTTCTGCATTTACAACTAGACAGAAGAATTCTCAGAAACTTCTTTGTGATGTGTACCTTCAACTCACAGAGGTGAAGCTTCCTTTCAATAGAGAACTTTTGAAACTCAGTTTTGGTAGAATTTCCAGGTGGATATTTAGCGCCGTTTGAGGCCTATGGTAGAAAAGGCAATATCTTCGTAGGAGAACTAGACAGAATGATTCTCAGAAACAACTTTGTGATGTGTGCGTTCAACTCACGGAGTTTAACCTTTCTTTTGATAGACCAGTTATGAAACACTCTTTTTGTAGAATCTGCAAGTAAATATTTGGACTTTTTTGAGGCCTTCATTGGAAACGGGATTTCTTCATATAAACCTTGACAGAAGAATTCCCAGAAACTTCTCTGTGATGTCTGCATTTAACTCTCAGAGTTCAACCTTCCTTTTGATAGAAGAGGGTTGAAATATTCTTTTTGTAGAATTTCCAAGTGAATATTTAGAGCGGTTTCAGGCCTAAGTAGAAGAGAAAATATCTTCACAGAAAAACTAGACATAATTGTTCTCTGAAGCTACTTTGTGATGTGCGCATTCAGCTTACAGAGTTTAACCTTTCTTTGGATAGAGCGGTTTTAAACACTCTTTTTGTGGAATTTGCAATTCTATATTTAGAGTGCTTTCATGCCTGTGGTACGAAGGGAATGTCCTCACATAAAATCTAGACAGAAGCGTTGTCGGAAACTAGTTTGTGATACCTGCCCTCAACTCTCAGAGTTGAATATTCCTCTTGACGGAGCAGTTTTGAAAAACTCTTTTTGTTGAATCTCCAAGTGGATATTTGGACCTCTTTGTGGCCTTCGTTTGAGACGTGACTTCTTCATTCAAAACTAGACAGAAGAATTCTCATAAACTTCTTCGTGATGTGTGCTTTCAACTCGCAGCGTTGAAGCTTCCTTTCGATAGAGCAGTTCTGTAACTCACTTTTTGTAGGATTTCCAAGTGGATATTTAGCGCCGTTTGAGGCCTATGGTGGAAAAGGCAATATCTTCGTAGAAAAACTAGACAGAATGATTCTCAGAAACTACTTTGTGATGTGTGCCTTCAACTCACGGAGTTTAAACTTTCTTTTGATAGAGCAGTTTTGAAAAACTCTTTTTGTAGAATCTGCAAGTGTATATTGGGACTTTTCTGAGGCCATCTTTGGAAACGGGATTTCTTCATATAAAACTTGAAAGAAGAATCCTCAGAAAATTATTTGTGATATGTGCATTTAACTCATGGAGTTGAAACTTCCTTTCGATAGAAGAGTTTTGAAATACTCTTTTTGTAGAATTTCCAAGTGGATTTTTACAGCGGTTTGAGGTCTATGGCAGCAAAAGAAATATCTTCACAGAAAAACTAGGCAGATTCATTCTCCGAAGCTGTTTTGTGATGCTTGCATTCAGCTGACAGAGTTTAAACTTCGTTTGATAGAGCAGTTTGGAAACACTCTTTTTGTGGAGTTTGCAAGTGTTTATTTAGAGCGTTTTGAGGCCTACAGTAGGAAAGGAAATATCTTCACATAAAAACTAGACAGAAGTATTGTCAGAAACTTATTTGTGATATTTGCATTCAACGCACAGAGTTGAACATTCCTCTTGATGGAGCAGTTTTCAAACCCTCTTTTTGCAGAGTCTGCAGGTGGATATTTGGACCTCTTTGTGGCCTTCGTTTGAAACGTGATTTCTTCATTTACAACTAGACAGAAGAATTCTCAGAAACTTCTTTGTGATGTGTACCTTCAACTCACACAGGTGAAGCTTCCTTTCAATAGAGCACTTTTGAAACTCAGTTTTGGTAGAATTTCCAGGTGGATATTTTGCGCCGTTTGAGGCCTATGGTAGAAAAGGCAATATCTTCGTAGGAGAACTAGACAGAATGATTCTCAGAAGCTACTTTGTGATGTGTGGGTTCAACTCACTGAGTTTAACCTTTCTTTTGATAGACCAGTTATGAAACACTCTTTCTGTGGAATCGGCAAGTAAATATTTGGACTTTTTTGAGGCCTTCATTGGAAACGGGGTTTCTTCATATAAACCTTGACAGAAGAATTCTCAGAAACTTCTTTGTGATGTGTGCATTTAACTCTCAGAGGTCAACCTTCCTTTTGATAGAAGAGGGTTGAAATATTCTTTTTGTAGAATTTCCAAGTGAATATTTAGAGCGGTTTCAGGCCTATGTAGAAGACGAAATATCTTCACAGAAAAACTAGACATAATTGTTCTCTGAAGCTACTCTGTGATGTGCGCATTCAGCTTACAGAGTTTCACCTTTCTTTGGATAGAGCCGTTTTAAACACTCTTTTTGTGGAATTTGCAATTCTATATTTAGAGTGCTTTCAGGCCTGTGGTACAAAAGGGAATGTCTTCACATAAAATACTGGACAGAAGCATTGTCGGTAACTACTTTGTGATACATGGCTTCAACTCTCAGAGTTGAATATTCCTCTTGAAGGAGCAGTTTTGAAAAACACTTTTTGTTGAATCTCCAAGTGGATATTTGGTCCTCTTTGTGGCCTTCGTTTCAAACGTGACTGCTTCATACAAAAGTAGACAGAAGAATTCTCATAAACTTCTACGTGATGTGTGCTTTCAACTCGCAGAGTTGAAGCTTCCTTTCGATAGAGCAGTCTTGTAACTCTCTTTTTGTAGAATTTCCAAGTGGATATTTAGCGCCGCTTGAGGCCTATGGTGGAGAAGGCGATATCTTCATAGAAAAACTAGTCAGAATGATTCTCAGAAACAACTCTGTGATGTGTGCCTTCAACTCACAGAGTTTAACCTTCCTTTTGATTGAGCAGTTTTGAAAAACTCTTTTTGTAGAATCTGCAAGTGTATATTGGGACTTTTCTGAGGCCAACTTTGGAAACGGGATTTCTTCATATAAAACTTGAAAGAAGAATCCTCAGAAAATTATTTGTGATATGTGCATTTAACTCATGGAGCTGAAACTTCCTTTCGATAGAAGAGCTTTGAAATACTCTTTTTGTAGAATTTCCAAGTGGATTTTTACAGCGGTTTGAGGTCTATGGCAGAAAAAGAAATATCTTCACAGAAAAACTAGGCAGATTCATTCTCCGAAGCTGTTTTGTGATGCTTGCATTAAGCGGACAGAGTTTAAACTTCCTTTGATAGAGCAGTTTGGAAACACTCTTTTTGTGGAATTTGCAAGTGTATATTTAGAGCGTTTTGAGGCCTACAGTAGGAAAGGAAATATCTTCACATATAAACTAGACAGAAGTATTGCCAGAAACTTATTTGTGATGTTTGCATTCAACGCACGGAGTTGAACATTCCTCTTGATGGAGCCGTTTTGAAGCACTCTTTTTGTGGAATCTGCAAGTGGATATTTGGACCTCTTTGTGGCCTTCGTGGGAAACGTGATTTCTTCATTTACAACTAGACAGAAGAATTCTCAGAAACTTCTTTGTGATGTGTACCTTCAACTCACAGAGGTGAAGCTTCCTTTCAATAGAGCACTTTTGAAGCTCAGTTTTGGTAGAATTTCCAGGTGGATATTTAGCGCCGTTTGAGGCCTATGGTAGAAAAGGCAATATCTTCGTAGGAGAACAAGACACAATGATTCTCAGAAGCTACTTTGTGATGTGTGGGTTCAACTCACTGAGTTTAACCTTTCTTTTGATAGACCAGTTATGAAACACTCTTTTTGTGGAATCTGCAAGTAAATTTTTGGACTTTTTTGAGGCCTTCATTGGAAACGGGGTTTCTTCATATAAACCTTGACAGAAGAATTCTCAGAAACTTCTCTGTGATGTGTGCGTTTAACTCTCAGAGTTCAACCTTCCTTTTGATAGAAGAGTGTTGAAATATTCTTTTTGCAGAATTTCCAAGTGAATATTTAGAGCGTCTCAGGCCTATGTGGAAGAGAAACTGTCTTCACGGAAAAACTAGACATAATTGTTCTCTGAAGCTTCTCTGTGATGTGCGCATTCAGCTGACAGAGTTTAACCTTTCTTTGGATAGAGCGGTTTTAAACACTCTTTTTGTGGAATTTGCAATTCTATATTTAGAGTGCTTTCAGGCCTGTGGTATAAAAGGGAATGTCTTCACATAAAATCCAGACAGAAGCATTGTCGGGAACTACTTTGAGATACCTGCCTTCAACTCTCAGAGTTGAATATTCCTCTTGATGGAGCAGTTTTGAAAAACTCTTTTTGTTGAATCTCCAAGTGGATATTTGGACCTCTTTGTGGCCTTCGTTTGAAACGTGACTGCTACATACAAAAGTAGACAGAAGAATTCTCATAAACTTCTTCGTGATGTGTGCTTTCAACTCGCAGAGTTGAAGCTTCCTTTCGATAGAGCAGTTTAGTAACTCTCTTTTTGTAGAATTTCCAAGTGGATATTTAGCGCCATTTGAGGCCTATGGTGGAAAAGGCGATATCTTCATAGAAAAACTAGTCAGAATGATTCTCAAAAACTACTTTGTGATGTGTGCCTTCAACTCACAGAGTTTAACCTTCCTTTTGGTAGAGCAGTTTTGAAAAACTCTTTTTGTAGAATCTGCAAGTGTATATTGGGACTTTTCTGAGGCCATCTTTGGAAACGGGATTTCTTCATATAAAACTTGAAAGAAGAATCCTCAGAAAATTATTTGTGATATGTGCATTTAACTCATGGAGTTCAGAATTCCTTTTGATAGAAGAGTTTTGAAATACTGTGTTTGTAGAATTTCCAAGTGGATTTTTACAGCAGTTTGAGGTCTATGGCAGAAAAAGAAATATCTTCACAGAAAAACTAGGCAGATTCATTCTCCGAAGCTGTTTTGTGATGCTTGCATTAAGCTGACAGAGTTTAAACTTCCTTTGATAGAGCAGTTTGGAAACACTCTTTTTGTGGAATTTGCAAGTGTATATTTAGAGCGTTTTGAGGCCTACAGTAGGAAAGGAAATATCTTCACATAAAAACTAGACAGAAGTATTGTCAGAAACTTATTTGTGATATTTGCATTCAACGCACAGAGTTGAACATTCCTCTTGATGGAGCAGTTTTCAAACCCTCTTTTTGCAGAATCTGCAGCTGGATATTTGGACCTCTTTGTGGCCTTCGTTTGAAACGTGATTTCTGCATTTACAACTAGACAGAAGAATTCTCAGAAACTTCTTTGTGATGTGTACCTTCAACTCACAGAGGTGAAGCTTCCTTTCAATAGAGCACTTTTGAAGCTCAGTTTTGGTAGAATTTCCAGGTGGATATTTAACGCCGTTTGAGGCCTATGGTAGAAAAGGCAATATCTTCGTAGGAGAACTAGACAGAATGATTCTCAGAAGCTACTTTGTGATGTGTGGGTTCAACTCACTGAGTTTAACCTTTCTTTTGATAGACCAGTTATGAAACACTCTTTCTGTGGAATCGGCAAGTAAATATTTGGACTTTTTTGAGGCCTTCATTGGAAACGGGGTTTCTTCATATAAACCTTGACAGAAGAATTCTCAGAAACTTCTCTGTGATGTATGCGTTTACCTCTCAGAGTTCAACCTTCCTTTTGATAGAAGAGTGTTGAAATATTCTTTTTGCAGAATTTCCAAGTGAATATTTAGAGCGGTCTCAGGCCTATGTGGAAGAGAAACTATCTTCACGGAAAAACTAGACATAATTGTTCTCTGAAGCTACTCTGTGATGTGCGCATTCAGCTGACAGAGTTTAACCTTTCTTAGGATAGAGCGGTTTTAAACCCTCTTTTTGTGGAATTTGCAATTCTGTATTTAGAGTGCTTTCAGGCCTGTGGTACAAAAGGGAATGTCTTCACATAAAATCTAGACAGAAGCATTGTCGGAAACTACTTTGTGATACCTGCCTTCAACTCTCAGAGTTGAATGTTCCTCTTGATGGAGCAGTTTTGAAAAACTCTTTTTGTTGAATCTCCAAGTGGATATTTGGCCCTCTTTGTGGCCTTCATTTGAAACGTGACTTCTTCATACAAAAGTAGACAGAAGAATTCTCATAAACTTCTTCGTGATGTGTGCTTTCAACTCGCAGAGTTGAAGCTTCCTTTCGATAGAGCAGTCTTGTAACTCTCTTTTCGTAGAATTTCCAAGTGGATATTTAGCGCCGCTTGAGGCCTATGGTGGAGAAGGCGATATCTTCATAGAAAAACTAGACAGAATGATTCTCAGAAACTACTTTGTGATGTGTGCCTTCAACTCACTGAGTTTAACCTTTCTTTTGATAGAGCAGTTTTGAAAAACTCTTTTTGTAGAATCTGCAAGTGTATATTGGGACTTTTCTGAGGCCAGCTTTGGAAACGGGATTTCTTCATATAAAACTTGAAAGAAGAAACCTCAGAAAATTATTTGTGATATGTGCATTTAACTCATGGAGTTGAGACTTCCTTTCGAAAGAAGAGTTTTGAAATACTCTTTTTGTAGAATTTCCAAGTGGATTTTTACAGCGGTTTGAGGTCTATGGCAGAAAAAGAAATATCTTCACAGAAAAACCAGGCAGATTCATTCTCCGAAGCTGTTTTGTGATGCTTGCATTAAGCTGACAGAGTTTAAACTTCCTTTGATAGAGCAGTGTGGAAACACTCTTTTTGTGGAATTTGCAAGTGTATATTTAGAGCGTTTTGAGGCCTACAGTAGGAAAGGAAATATCTTCACATAAAAACTAGACAGAAGTATTGTCAGAAACTTATTTGTGATATTTGCATTCAACGCACAGAGTTGAACATTCCTCTTGATGGAGCAGTTTTGAAACCCTCTTTTTGCAGAATCTGCAGGTGGATATTTGGACCTCTTTGTGGCCTTCGTTTGAAACGTGATTTCTTCATTTACAACTAGACAGAAGAATTCTCAGAAACTTCTTTGTGATGTGTACCTTCAACTCACAGAGGTGAAGCTTCCTTTCAATAGAGCACTTTTGAAACTCAGTTTTGGTAGAATTTCCAGGTGGATATTTTGCGCCATTTGAGGCCTATGGTAGAAAAGGCAATATCTTCGTAGGAGAACTAGACACAATGATTCCCAGAAGCTACTTTGTGATGTGTGGGTTCAACTCACTGAGTTTAACCTTTCTTTTGATAGACCAGTTATGAAACACACTTTTTGTGGAATCGGCAAGTAAATATTTGGACTTTTTGGAGGCCTTCATTGGAAACGCGGTATCTTCATATAAACCTTGACAGAAGAATTCTCGGAAACTACTCTGTGATGTGTGCGTTTAACTCTCAGAGTTCAACCTTCCTTTTGAGAGAAGACTGTTGAAATATTCTTTCTGTAGAATTTCC
Organism: Homo sapiens; assembly: GCF_000001405.40. NCBI lineage: Eukaryota > Metazoa > Chordata > Mammalia > Primates > Hominidae > Homo > Homo sapiens. The sequence continues at coordinate 91,192,742 of NC_000003.12, forward strand.
AAGTGAATATTTGGAACGGTTTCAGGCCTATGTAGAAGAGAATATATCTTCACAGAAAAACTAGACATAATTGTTCTCTGAAGCCACTTTGTGATGTGCGCATTCAGCTGACAGAGTTTAAGCTTTCTTTGGATAGAGCGGTTTTAAACACTCTTTTTGTGGAATTTGCAATTGTATATTTAGAGTGCTTTCAGGCCTGTGGTACAAAAGGGAATGTCTTCACATAAAATCTAGACCGAAGCGTTGTCGGAAACTACTTTGTGATACCTGCCTTCAACTCTCAGAGTTGAATATTCCTCTTGACGGAGCAGTTTTGAAAAACGCTTTTTGTTGAATCTCCAAGTGGATATTTGGACCTCTTTGTGGCCTTCGTTTGAGACGTGACTTCTTCATACAAAACTAGACAGAAGAATTCTCATCAACTTCTTCGCGATGTGTGCTTTCAACTCGCAGAGTTGCAGCTTCCTTTCGATAGAGCAGTTTTGTAACTCTCTTTTTGTAGAATTTCCAAGGGGATATTTAGCGCCGTTTGAGGCCTATGGTGGAAAAGGCAATGTCTTCATAGAAAAACTAGACAGAATGATTCTCAGAAACTACTTTGTGATGTGTGCCTTCAACTCACAGAGTTTAACCTTTCTTTTGATAGAGCAGTTTTCAAAAACTCTTTTTGTAGAATCTGCAAGTGTATATTGGGACTTTTCTGAGGCCATCTTTGGAAACGGGATTTCTTCATATAAAACTTCAGAGAAGAATCCTCAGAAAATTATTTGTGATATGTGCATTTAACTCATGGAGTTGAAACTTCCTTTCGATAGAAGAGTTTTGAAATACTCTTTTTGTAGAATTTCCAAGTGGATTTTCACAGCGGTTTGAGGTCTATGGTAGAAAAAGAAATATCTTCACAGAAAAACTAGGCAGATTCATTCTCCGAAGCTGTTTTGTGATGCTTGCATTCAGCTTACAGAGTTTAAACTTCCTTTGATAGAGCAGTTTTGAAACCCTCTTTTTGTGGAATTTGCAAGTGTCTCTTTAGAGCGTTTTGAGGCCTACAGTAGGAAAGGAAATATCTTCACATAAAAACTAAGCGGAAGTATTGTCAGAAACTTATTTGTGATATTTGCATTCAACGCACAGAGTTGAACATTCCTCTTGATGGAGCAGTTTTCAAACCCTCTTTTTGCAGAATCTGCAGGTGGATATTTGGACCTCTTTGTGGCCTTCGTTTGAAACGCGATTTCTTCATTTACAACTAGACAGAAGAATTCTCAGAAACTTCTTTGTGATGTGTACCTTCAGCTCACAGAGGTGAAGCTTCCTTTCAATAGAGCACTTTTGAAGCTCAGTTTTGGTAGAATTTCCAGGTGGATATTTAGCGCCGTTTGAGGCCTATGGTAGAAAAGGCAATATCTTCGTAGGAGAACTAGACAGAATGATTCTCAGAAGCTACTTTGTGATGTGTGGGTTCAACTCACTGAGTTTAACCTTTCTTTTGATAGACCAGTTATGAAACACTCTTTTTGTGGAATCTGCAAGTAAATTTTTGGACTTTTTTGAGGCCTTCATTGGAAACGGGGTTTCTTCATATAAACCTTGACAGAAGAATTCTCAGAAACTTCTCTGTGATGTGTGTGTTTAACTCTCAGAGTTCAACCTTCCTTTTGATAGAAGAGTGTTGAAATATTCTTTTTGTAGAATTTCCAAGTGCATATTTAGAGCGGTCTCAGTCCTATGTAGAAGAGAAACTATCTTCACAGAAAAACTAGACATAATTGTTCTCTGAAGCTACTCTGTGTTGTGCGCATTCAGCTGACAGAGTTTAACCTTTCTTTGGATAGAGCGGTTTTCAACACTCTTTTTGTGGAAATTGCAATTCTATACTTAGAGTGCTTTCAGGCCTGTGGTAAAAAAGGGAATGTCTTCACATAAAATCTAGACAGAAGCATTGTCGGAAACTACTTTGTGATACCTGCCTTCAACTCTCAGAGTTGAATATTCCTCTTGATGGAGCAGTTTTGAAAAACTCTCTTTGTTGAATCTCCAAGTGGATATTTGGACCTCTTTGTGGCCTTCGTTTGAGACGTGACTGCTTCATACAAAAGTAGACAGAAGAATTCTCATCAACTTCTTCGTGATGTGTGCTTTCAACTCGCAGCGTTGAAGCTTCCTTTCGATAGAGCCGTTCTGTAACTCTCTTTTTGTAGAATTTCCAAGTGGATATTTAGCGCCGTTTGAGGCCAATGGTGGAAAAGGCAATATCTTCATAGAAAAACTAGACAGAATGATTCTCAGAAACTACATTGTGATGTGTGCCTTCAACTCACAGAGTTTCACCTTTCTTTTGATAGAGCAGTTTTGAAAAACTCTTTTTGTAGAATCTGCAAGTGTATATTGGGACTTTTCTGAGGCCATCTTTGGAAACGGGATTTCTTCGTATAAAACTTGAAGGAAGAATCCTCAGAAAATTATTTGAGATATGTGCATTTAACTCATGGAGTTGAAACTTCCTTTCGATAGAAGCGTTTTGAAATACTCTTTTTGTAGAATTTCCAAGTGGATTTTTACAGCGGTTTGAGGTCTATGGCGGAAAAAGAAATATCTTCACAGAAAAACTAGGCAGATTCATTCTCCGAAGCTGTTTTGTGATGCTTGCATTAAGCTGACAGAGTTTAAACTTCCTTTGCTAGAGCAGTTTGGAAACACTCTTTATGTGGAATTTGCAAGTGTATATTTAGAGCGTTTTGAGGCCTACAGTAGGAAAGGAAATATCTTCACATAAAAACTAGACAGAAGCATTGTCGGGAACTACTTTGTGATACCTGCCTTCAACTCTCAGAGTTGAATATTCCTCTTGATGGAGCAGTTTTGAAAAACTCTTCTTGTTGAATCTCCAAGTGGATATTTGGACCTCTTTGTGGCCTTCGTTTGAAACGTGATTTCTTCATTTACAACTAGACAGAAGAATTCTCAGAAACTTCTTTGTGATGTGTACCTTCAACTCACAGAGGTGAAGCTTCCTTTCAATAGAGCACTTTTGAAGCTCAGTTTTGGTAGAATTTCCAGGTGGATATTTAGCGCCGTTTGAGGCCTATGGTAGAAAAGGCAATATCTTCGTAGGAGAACTAGACACAATGATTCTCAGAAACTACTTTGTGATGTGTGGGTTCAACTCACTGAGTTTAACCTTTCTTTTGATAGACCAGTTATGAAACACTCTTTTTGTAGAATCTGCAAGTAAATATTTGGACTTTTTTGAGGCCTTCATTGGAAACGGGATTTCTTCATAGAAACCTTGACAGAAGAATTCTCAGAAACTTCTCTGTGATGTGTGCGTTTAACTCTCAGAGTTCAACCTTCCTTTTGATGGAAGAGTGTTGAAGTATTCTTTTTGTAGAATTTCCAAGTGAGTATTTAGAGCGGTTTCAGGCCTATGTAGAAGAGAAAATATCTTCCCAGAAAGACTAGACATAATTGTTCTCTGAAGCTACTTTGTGATGTGCGCATTCAGCTTACAGAGTTTAACCTTTCTTTGGATCGAGCGGTTTTAAACACTCTTTTTGTGGAATTTGCAATTCTATATTTAGAGTGCTTTCAGGCCTGTGGTACAAAAGGGAATGTCCTCACATAAAATCTAGACAGAAGCATTGCCGGGAACTACTTTGTGATACCTGCCTTCAACTCTCAGAGTTGAATATTCCTCTTGATGGAGCAGTTTTGAAAAACTCTTTTTGTTGAATCTCCAAGTGGATATTTGGACCTCTTTGTGGCCTTCGTTTGAAACGTGACTGCTTCATACAAAAGTAGACAGAAGAATTCTCATCAACTTCTTCGTGATGTGTGCTTTCAACTCGCAGCGTTGAAGCTTCCTTTCGATAGAGCAGTTTTGTAACTCTCTTTTTGTAGAATTTCCGAGTGGATATTTAGCGCCGTTTGAGGCCTATGGTGGAAAAGGCAATATCTTCATAGAAAAACTAGACAGAATGATTCTCAGAAACTACTTTGTGATGTGTGCCTTCAACTCACAGAGTTTAACCTTTCTTTTGATAGAGCAGTTTTGAAAAACTCTTTTTGTAGAATCTGCAAGTGTATCTTGGGACTTTTCTGAGGCCATCTTTGGAAACGGGATTTCTTCATATAAAATTTGAAAGAAGAATCCTCAGAAAATTATTTGTGGTATGTGCATTTAACTCATGGAGTTGAAACTTCCTTTCGATAGAAGAGTTTTGACATACTCTTTTCGTAGGATTTCCAAGTGGATTTTCACAGCGGTTTGAGGTCTATGGCAGAAAAAGGAATATCTTCACAGAAAAACTAGGCAGATTCATTCTCCGAAGCTGTTTTGTGATGCTTGCATTAAGCTGACAGAGTTTAAACTTCCTTTGATAGAGCAGTTTGGAAACACTCTTTTTGTGGAATTTGCAATTCTATATTTAGAGTGCTTTCAGGCCTGTGGTACAAAAGGGAATGTCTTCACATAAAATCTAGACAGAAGTATTGTCAGAAACTTATTTGTGATATTTGCATTCAAGGCACAGAGTTGAACATTCCTCTTGATGGAGCAGTTTTGAAACCCTCTTTTTGCAGAATCTGCAGGTGGATATTTGGACCTCTTTGTGGCCTTCGTTTGAAACGTGATTTCTTCATTTACAACTAGACAGAAGAATTCTCAGAAACTTCTTTGTGATGTGTACCTTCAACTCACAGAGGTGAAGCTTCCTTTCAATAGAGCACTTTTGAAACTCAGTTTTGGTAGAATTTCCAGGTGGATATTTTGCGCCATTTGAGGCCTATGGTAGAAAAGGCAATATCTTCGTAGGAGAACTAGACACAATGATTCTCAGAAACTACTTTGTGATGTGTGGGTTCAACTCACTGAGTTTAACCTTTCTTTTGATAGACCAGTTATGAAACACTCTTTTTGTAGAATCTGCAAGTAAATATTTGGACTTTTTTGAGGCCTTCATTGGAAACGGGATTTCTTCATAGAAACCTTGACAGAAGAATTCCCAGAAACTTCTTTGTGATGTGTGCATTTAACTCTCAGAGTTCAACCTTCCTTTTGACAGAAGAGTGTTGAAATATTCTTTTTCTAGAGTTTCCAAGTGAATATTTAGAGCGGTTTCAGGCCTATGTAGAAGAGAAAATATCTTCACAGAGAAACTAGACATAATTGTTCTCTGAAGCTACTCTGTGATGTGCGCATTCAGCTGACAGAGTTTAACCTTTCTTTGGATAGAGCGGCTTTAAACACTCCTTTTGTGGAATTTGCAATTCTATATTTAGAGTGCTTTCAGGCCTGTGGTACAAAAGGGAATGTCTTCACATAAAAACTAGACAGAAGCATTGTCGGAAACTATTTTGTGTTACCTGCCTTCAGCTCTCAGAGTTGAATATTCCTCTTGATGGAGCACTTTTGAAAAACTCTTTTTGTTGAATCTCCAAGTGGATATTTGGACCTCTTTGTGGCCTTCGTTTGAAACGTGACTGCTTCATACAAAACTGGACAGAAGAATTCTCATAAACTTCTTCGTGATGTGTGCTTTCAACTGGCAGCGTTGAAGCTTCCTTTCGATAGAGCAGTTTTCTAACTCTCTTTTTGTAGAATTTCCCGGTGGATATTTAGCGCCTTTTGAGGCCCATGGTGGAAAAGGCAATATCTTCATAGAAAAACTAGACCGAAATGATTCTCAGAAACTACTCTGTGATGTGTGCCTTCAACTCACAGAGTTTAACCTTCCTTTTGATAGAGCAGTTTTGAAAAACTCTTTTTGTAGAATCTGCCAGTGTATATTGGGACTTTTCTGAGGCCATCTTTGGAAACGGGATTTCTTCATATAAAATTTGAAAGAAGAATCCTCAGAAAATTATTTGTGATATGTGCATTTAACTCATGGAGTTGAAACTTCCTATCGATAGAAGAGTTTTGAAATACTCTTTTTGTAGAATTCCCAAGTGGATTTTTACAGCGGTTTGAGGTCTATGGCAGCAAAAGAAATATCTTCACAGAAAAACTAGGCAGATTCATTCTCCGAAGCTGTTTTGTGATGCTTGCATTAAGCTGACAGAGTTTAAACTTCCTTTGATAGAGCAGTTTGGAAACACTCTTTTTGTGGAATTTGCAAGTGTATATTTAGAGCCTTTTGAGGCCTACAGTAGGAAAGTAAATATCTTCACATAAAAACTAGACAGAAGTATTGTCAGAAACTTACTTGTGATATTTGCATTCAACGCACAGAGTTGAACATTCCTCTTGATGGAGCAGTTTTGAAACACTCTTTTTGCAGAATCTGCAGGTGGATATTTGGACCTCTTTGTGGCCTTCGTTTGAAACGTGATTTCTTCATTTACAACTAGACAGAAGAATTCTCAGAAACTTCTTTGTGATGTGTACTTTCAACTCACAGAGTTGAAGCTTCCTTTCAATAGAGCACTTTTGAAACTCAGTTTCTGTAGAATTTCCAGGTGGATATTTAGCGCCGTTTGAGGCCTATGGTGGAAAAGGCAATATCTTCGTAGAAAAACTAGACAGAATGATTCTCAGAAACAACTTTGTGATGTGTGCGTTCAACTCACGGAGTTTAACCTTTCTTTTGATAGACCAGTTATGAAACACTCTTTTTGTAGAATCTGCAAGTAAATATTTGGACTTTTTTGAGGCCTTCATTGGAAACGGGATCTCTTCATATAAACCTTGACAGAAGAATTCCCAGAAAATTCTCTGTGATGTGTGCATTTAACTCTCAGAGTTCAACCTTCCTTTTGATAGAAGAGGGTTGAAATATTCTTTTTGTAGAATTTCCAAGTGAATATTTAGAGCGGTTTCAGGCCTAAGTAGAATAGAAAATATCTTCACAGAAAAACTAGACATAATTGTTCTCTGAAGCTACTTTGTGATGGGCGCCTTCAGCTGACAGAGTTTAACCTTTCTTTGGATAGAGCGGTTTTAAACACTCTTTTTGTGGAATTTGCAATTCTATATTTAGAGTGCTTTCAGGCCTGTGGTACAAAAGGGAATGTCTTCACATAAAATCTAGACAGAAGCATTGTCGGAAACTACTTTGTGATACCTGCCTTCAACTCTCAGAGTTGAATATTCTTCTTGATGGAGCAGTTTTGAAAAACTCTTTTTGTTGAATCTCCAAGTGGATATTTGGACCTCTTTGTGGCCTTCGTTTGAAACGTGATTTCTTCATACAAAACTAGAAAGGAGAATTCTCATAAACTTCTTCGTGATGTGTGCTTTCAACTCGCAGCGTTGAAGCTTCCTTTCGATACAGCAGTTTAGTAACTCTCTTTTTGTAGAATTTCCAAGTGGATATTTAGCGCTGTCTGAGGCCTATGGTGGAAAAGGCAATATCTTCATAGAAAAACTAGACAGAATGATTCTCAGAAACTACTTTGTGATGTGTGCCTTCAACTCACAGAGTTTAACCTTTCTTTTGATAGAGCAGTTTTGAAAAACTCTTTTTGTAGAATCTGCAAGTGTATCTCGGGACTTTTCTGAGGCCATCTTTGGAAACGGGATTTCTTCATATAAAATTTGAAAGAAGAATCCTCAGAAAATTATTTGTGATATGTGCATTTAACTCATGGAGTTGAAACTTCCTTTCGATAGAAGAGTTTTGAAATACTCTTTTTGTAGAATTTCCAAGTGGATTTTTACAGCGGTTTGAGGTCTATGGCAGCAAAAGAAATATCTTCACAGAAAAACTAGGCAGATTCATTCTCCGAAGCTGTTTTGTGATGCTTGCATTAAGTGGACAAAGTTTAAACTTCCTTTGATAGAGCAGTTTGGAAACACTCTTTGTGGAATTTGCAAGTGGATATTTAGAGCGTTTTGAGGCCTACAGTAGGAAAGGAAATATCTTCACATAAAAACTAGACAGAAGTATTGTCAGAAACTTATTTGTGATATTTGCATTCAACGCACGGAGTTGAACATTCCTCTTGATGGAGCCGTTTTGAAGCACTCTTTTTGTGGAATCTGCAAGTGGATATTTGGACCTCTTTGTGGCCTTCGTGTGAAACGTGATTTCTTCATTTACAACTAGACAGAAGAATTCTCAGAAACTTCTTTGTGATGTGTACCTTCAACTCACAGAGTTGAAGCTTCCTTTCAATAGAGCACTTTTGAAACTCAGTTTTTGTAGAATTTCCAGGTGGATATTTAGCGCCGTTTGAGGCCTAAGGTAGAAAAGGCAATATCTTCGTAGGAAAACTAGACAGAATGATTCTCAGAAACTACTTTGTGATGTGTGGGTTCAACTCACTGAGTTTAACCTTTCTTTTACTAGACCAGTTATGAAACACTCTTTTTGTAGAATTTGCAAGTAAATATTTGGACTTTTTTGAGGCCTTCATTGGAAACGGGATTTCTTCATAGAAACCTTGACAGAAGAATTCTCAGAAACTTCTCTGTGATGTGTGCGTTTAACTCTCAGAGTTCAACCTTCCTTTTGATAGAAGAGTGTTGAAATATTCTTTTTGTAGAATTTCCAAGTGAATATTTAGAGCGGTTTCAGGCCTATGTATAAGAGAAACTATCTTCACAGAAAAACTAGACATAATTGTTCTCTGAAGCTACTCTGTGATGTGCGCATTCAGCTGACAGAGTTTAAACTTTCTTTGGATAGAGTGGTTTTAAACCCTCTTTTTGTGGAATTTGCAATTCTGTATTTAGAGTGCTTTCAGGCCTGTGGTACAAAAGGGAATGTCTTCACATAAAATCTAGACAGAAGCATTGTCGGGAACTACTTTGGGATACCTGCCTTCAACTCTAAGAGTTGAATATTCCTCTTGATGGAGGAGTTTTGAAAAACTCTTTTTGATGAATCTCCAAGTGGATATTTGGACCTCTTTGTGGCCTTCGTTTGAAACGTGACTGCTTCATACAAAAGTAGACAGAAGAATTCTCATAAACATCTTCGTGATGTGTGCTTTCAACTCGCAGCGTTGAAGCTTCCTTTCGATAGAGCAGTTTGGTAACTCTCTTTTTGTAGAATTTCCAAGTGGATATTTAGCGCCGTTTGAGGCCTATGGTGGAAAAGGCAATATCTTCATAGAAAAACTAGACAGAATGATTCTCAGAAACTACTTTGTGATGTGTGCCTTCAACTCACAGAGTTATCCTTTCTTTTGATAGAGCAGTTTTGAAAAACTCTTTTTGTAGAATCTGCATGTGTATATTGGGAATTTTCTGAGGCCATCTTTGGAAACGGGATTTCTTCATATAAAACTTGAAAGAAGAATCCTCAGAAAATTATTTGTGATATGTGCATTTAACTCATGGAGTTGAAACTTCCTTTCGATAGAAGAGTTTTGAAATACTCTTTTTGTAGAATTCCCAAGTGGATTTTTACAGCGGTTTGAGGTCTATGGCAGCAAAAGAAATATCTTCACAGAAAAACTAGGCAGATTCATTCTCCGAAGCTGTTTTGTGATGCTTGCATTAAGCGGACAGAGTTAAAACTTCCTTTGATAGAGCAGTTTGGAAACACTCTTTTGTGGAATTTGCAAGTGTATCTTTAGAGCGTTTTGAGGCCTACAGTAGGAAAGGAAATATCTTCACATAAAAACTACACAGAAAGTATTGTCAGAAACTTATTTGTGATATTTGCATTCAACGCACAGAGTTGAACATTCCTCTTGATGGAGCCGTTTTGAAACACTCTTTTTGTAGAATCTGCAAGTGGATATTTGGACCTCTTTGTGGCCTTCGTGTGAAACGTGATTTCTTCATTTACAACTAGACAGAAGAATTCTCAGAAACTTCTTTGTGATGTGTACCTTCAACTCACAGAGGTGAAGCTTCCTTTCAATAGAGCAGTTTTGAAACTCAGTTTTGGTAGAATTTCCAGGTGGATATTTAGCGCCGTTTGAGGCCTATGGTAGAAAAGGCAATATCTTCGTAGGAGAACTAGACAGAATGATTCTCAGAAGCTACTTTGTGATGTGTGGGTTCAACTCACTGAGTTTAACCTTTCTTTTGATAGACCAGTTATGAAACACTCTTTTTGTGGAATCTGCAAGTAAATTTTTGGACTTTTTTGAGGCCTTCATTGGAAACGGGGTTTCTTCATATAAACCTTGACAGAAGAATTCCCAGAAACTTCTCTGTGATGTGTGCATTTAACTCTCAGAGTTCAACTTTCCCTTTGATAGAAGAGGGTTGAAATATTCTTTTTGTAGAATTTCCAAGTGAATATTTAGAGCGGTTTCAGGCCTAAGTAGAAGACAAAATATCTTCACAGAAAAACTAGACATAATTGTTCTCTGAAGCTACTCTGTGATGTGCGCATTCAGCTGACAGAGTTTAACCTTTCTTTGGATAGAGTGGTTTTAAACCCTCTTTTTGTGGAATTTGCAATTCTGTATTTAGAGTGCTTTCAGGCCTGTGGTACAAAAGGGAATGTCTTCACATAAAATCTAGACAGAAGCATTGTCGGAAACTACTTTGTGATACCTGCCTTCAACTCTCTGAGTTGAATGTTCCTCTTGATGGAGCAGTTTTGAAAAACTCTTTTTGTTGAATCTCCAAGTGGATATTTGGACCTCTTTGTGGCCTTCGTTTGAGACGTGACTGCTTCATACAAAAGTAGACAGAAGAATTCTCATAAACTTCTTCGTGATGTGTGCTTTCAACTCGCAGAGCTGAAGCTTCCTTTTGATAGAGCAGTTTTGTAACCCTCTTTTTGTAGAATTTCCAAGTGGATATTTAGAGCCGTTTGAGGCCTATGGTGGAAAAGGCAATATCTTCATAGAAAAACTAGACAGAATGATTCTCAGAAACTACTTTGTGATGTGTGCCTTCAACTCACAGAGTTTAACCTTTCTTTTGATAGAGCAGTTTTGAAAAACTCTTTTTGTAGAATCTGCAAGTGTATATTGGGACTTTTCTGAGGCCATCTTTGGAAACGGGATTTCTTCATATAAGACTTGAAAGAAGAATCCTCAGAAAATTATTTGTGATATGTGCATTTAACTCATGGAGTTGAAACTTCCTTTCGATAGAAGAGTTTTGAAATACTCTTTTTGTAGAATTTCCAAGTGGATTTTTACAGCGGTTTGAGGTCTATGGCAGCAAAAGAAATATCTTCACAGAAAAATTAGGCAGATTCATTCTCCGAAGCTGTTTTGTGATGCTTGCATTCAGCTGACAGAGTTTAAACTTCCTTCGATAGAGCAGTTTGGAAACACTCTTTTTGTGGAGTTTGCAAGTGTTTATTTAGATCGTTTTCGGGCCTACAGTAGGAAAGGAAATATCTTCACATAAAAACTAGACAGAAGTATTGTCAGAAACTTATTTGTGATATTGGCATTCAACGCACAGAGTTGAACATTCCTCTTGATGGAGCAGTTTTGAAACACTCTTTTTGTAGAATCTGCATGTGGATATTTGGACCTCTTTGTGGCCTTCGTTTGAAACGTGATTTCTGCATTTACAACTAGACAGAAGAATTCTCAGTAACTTCTTTGTGATGTGTACTTTCAACTCACAGAGTTGAAGCTTCCTTTCAATAGAGCACTTTTGAAACTCAGTTTCTGTAGAATTTCCAGGTGGATATTTAGCGCCGTTTGAGGCCTATGGTGGAAAAGGCAATATCTTCGTAGAAAAACTAGACAGAATGATTCTCAGAAACTACTTTGTGATGTGTGGGTTCAACTCAGTGAGTTTCACCTTTCTTTTGATAGACCAGTTATGAAACACTCTTTTTGTGGAATCTGCAAGTAAATTTTTGGACTTTTTTGAGGCCTTCATTGGAAACGGGGTTTCTTCATATAAACCTTGACAGAAGAATTCTCAGAAACTTCTCTGTGATGTGTGCGTTTAACTCTCAGAGTTCAACCTTCCTTTTGATAGAAGAGTGTTGAAATATTCTTTTTGTAGAATTTCCAAGTGAATATTTAGAGCGGTTTCAGGCCTATGTAGAAGAGAAACTATCTCCACAGAAAAACTAGACACAATTGTTCTCTGAAGCTGCTCTGTGATGTGCGCATTCAGCTGACAGAGTTTAACCTTTCTTTTGATCGAGCGGTTTTAAACACTCTTTTTGTGGAATTTGCAATTCTATATTTAGAGTGCTTTCAGGCCTGTGGTACAAAAGGGAATGTCTTCGCATAAAATCTAGACAGAAGCGTTGTCGGAAACTAGTTTGTGATACCTGCCCTCAACTCTCAGAGTTGAATATTCCTCTTGATGGAGCAGTTTTGAAAAACTCTTTTTGTTGAATCTCCAAGTGGATATTTGGACCTCTTTGTGGCCTTCGTTTGAGACGTGACTTCTTCATACAAAACTAGACAGAAGAATTCTCATCAACTTCTTTGCGATGTGTGCTTTCAACTCGCAGAGTTGCAGCTTCCTTTCGATAGAGCAGTTTTGTAACTCTCTTTTTGTAGAATTTCCAAGTGGATATTTAGCGCCGTTTGAGGCCTGTGGTGGAAAAGGCAATATCTTCATAGAAAAACTAGACAGAATGATTCTCAGAAACTACTTTGTGATGTTTGCCTTCAACTCACAGAGTTTAACCTTTCTTTGGATAGAGCAGTTTTGAAAAACTCTTTTTGTAGAATCTGCAAGGGTATATTGGGACTTTTCTGAGGCCATCTTTGGAAACGGGATTTCTTCATATAAAACTTCAAAGAAGAATCCTCAGAAAATTATTTGTGGTATGTGCATTTAACTCATGGAGTTGAAACTTCCTTTCGCTAGAAGAGTTTTGACATACTCTTTTTGTAGGATTTCCAAGTGGATTTTCACAGCGGTTTGAGGTCTATGGCAGAAAAAGAAATATCTTCACAGAAAAACTAGGCAGATTCATTCTCCGAAGCTGTTTTGTGATGCTTGCATTAAGCTTACAGAGTTTAAAGTTCCTTTGATAGAGCAGTTTTGAAACACTCTTCTTGTGGAATTTGCAAGTGTATATTTAGAGCGTTTTGAGGCCCACAGTAGGAAAGGAAATATCTTCACATAAAAACTAGACAGAAATATTGTCAGAAACTTATTTGTGATATTTGCATTCAACGCACAGAGTTGAACATTCCTCTTGATGGAGCAGTTTTCAAACCCTCTTTTTGCAGAATCTGCAGCTGGATATTTGGACCTCTTTGTGGCCTTCGTTTGAAACGTGATTTCTTCATTTACAACTAGACAGAAGAATTCTCAGAAACTTCTTTGTGATGTGTACCTTCAACTCACAGAGGTGAAGCTTCCTTTCAATAGAGCACTTTTGAAGCTCAGTTTTGGTAGAATTTCCAGGTGGATATTTAGCGCCGTTTGAGGCCTATGGTAGAAAAGGCAATATCTTCGTAGGAGAACTAGACACAATGATTCTGAGAAACAACTTTGTGATGTGTGCGTTCAACACTCGGAGTTTAACCTTTCTTTTGATAGACTAGTTATGAAACACTCTTTTTGTAGAATCTGCAAGTAAATATTTGGACTTTTTTGAGGCCTTCATTGGAAACGGGATCTCTTCATATAAACCTTGACAGAAGAATTCCCAGAAACTTCTCTGTGATGTGAGGATTTAACTCTCAGAGTTCAACCTTCCTTTTGATAGAAGAGGGTTGAAATATTCTTTTCGTAGAATTTCCAAGTGAATATTTAGAGCGGTTTCAGGCCTATGTAGAAGAGAAAATATCTTCACAGAAAAACTAGACATAATTGTTCTCTGAAGCTAGTCTGTGATGTGCGCATTCAGCTGACAGAGTTTAACCTTTCTTTGGATAGAGCGGTTTTAAACACTCTTTTTGTGGAATTTGCAATTTTATATTTAGAGTGCTTTCAGGCCTGTGGTACAAAAGGGAATGTCTTCACATAAAATCTAGACAGAAGCATTGTCGGGAACTACTTTGGGATACCTGTCTTCAACTCTCAGAGTTGAATATTCCTCTTGATGGAGCAGTTTTGAAAAACTCTTTTTGTTGAATCTCCAAGTGGATATTTGGACCTCTTTGTGGCCTTCGTTTGAAACGTGACTGCTTCATACAAAAGTAGACAGAAGAATTCTCATAAACTTCTTCGTGATGTGTGCTTTCCACTAGCAGAGTTGAAGCTTCCTTTCGATAGAGCAGTCTTGTAACTCTCTTTTTGTAGAATTTCCAAGTGGATATTTAGCGCCGTTTGAGGCCTATGGTGGAGAAGGCGATATCTTCATAGAAAAACTAGACAGAATGATTCTCAGAAACTACTCTGTGATGTGTGCCTTCAACTCACAGAGTTTAACCTTCCTTTTGATAGAGCAGTTTTGAAAAACTCTTTTTGTAGAATCTGCAAGTGTATATTGGGACTTTTCTGAGGCCATCTTTGGAAACGGGGTTTCTTCATATAAAACTTGAAAGAAGAATCCTCAGAAAATTATTTGTGATATGTGCATTTAGCTCATGGAGCTGAAACTTCCTTTCGATAGAAGAGCTTTGAAATACTCTTTTTGTAGAATTTCCAAGTGGATTTTTACAGCGGTTTGAGGTCTATGGCAGAAAAAGAAATATCTTCACAGAAAAATTAGGCAGATTCATTCTCCGAAGCTGTTTTGTGATGCTTGCATTAAGCGGACAGAGTTTAAACTTCCTTTGATAGAGCAGTTTGGAAACACTCTTTTTGTGGAATTTGCAAGTGTATCTTTAGAGCGTTTTGAGGCCTACAGTAGGAAAGGAAAAATCTTCACATAAAAACTACACAGAAGTATTGTCAGAAACTTATTTGTGATATTTGCATTCAACGCACGGAGTTGAACATTCCTCTTGATGGAGCCGTTTTGAAGCACTCTTTTTGTGGAATCTGCAAGTGGATATTTGGACCTCTTTGTGGCCTTCGTGTGAAACTTGCTTTCTTCATTTACAACTAGACAGAAGAATTCTCAGAAACTTCTTTGTGATGTGTACTTTCAACTCACAGAGTTGAAGCTTCCTTTCAATAGAGCACTTTTGAAACTCAGTTTCTGTAGAATTTCCAGGTGGATATTTAGCGCCGTTTGAGGCCTATGGTGGAAAAGGCAATATCTTCGTAGAAAAACTAGACAGAATGATTCTCAGAAACAACTTTGTGATGTGTGCGTTCAACTCACGGAGTTTAACCTTTCTTTTGATAGACCAGTTATGAAACACTCTTTTTGTAGAATCTGCAAGTAAATATTTGGACTTTTTTGAGGCCTTCATTGGAAACGGGATCTCTTCATACAAACCTTGACAGAAGAATTCCGAGAAACTTCTCTGTGATGTGTGCATTTAACTCTCAGAGTTCAACCATCATTTTGATAGAAGAGGGTTGAAATTTTCTTTTTGTAGAATTTCCAAGTGAATATTTAGAGCGGTTTCAGGCCTAAGTAGAAGAGAAAATATCGTCACAGAAAAACTAGACATAATAGTTCTCTGAAGCTACTTTGTGATGTGCGCATTCAGCTTACAGAGTTTAACCTTTCTTTGGATCGAGCGGTTTTAAACACTCTTTTTGTGGAATTTGCAATTCTATATTTAGAGTGCTTTCAGGCCTGTGGTACAAAAGGGAATGTCCTCACTTAAAATCTAGACAGAAGCATTGTCGGAAACTATTTTGTGATACCTGCCTTCAACTCTCAGAGTTGAATATTCCTCTTGATGGAGCAGTTTTGAAAAACTCTTTTTGTTGAATCTCCAAGTGGATATTTGGACCTCTTTGTGGCCTTCGTTTGAAACGCGACTGCTTCATACAAAACTGGACAGAAGAATTCTCATAAACTTCTTCGTGATGTGTGCTTTCAACTCGCAGCGTTGAAGCTTCCTTTCGATAGAGCAGTTTAGTAACTCTCTTTTTGTAGAATTTCCAAGTGGATATTTAACGCCATTTGAGGCCTATGGTGGAAAAGGCAATATCTTCATAGAAAAACTAGACAGAATGATTCTCAGAAACTACTTTGTGATGTGTGCCTTCAACTCACAGAGTTTAACCTTTCTTTTGATAGAGCAGTTTTGAAAAACTCTTTTTGTAGAATCTGCAAGTGTATATTGGGACTTTTCTGAGGCCATCTTTGGAAACGGGATTTCTTCCTATAAAACTTGAAAGAAGAATCCTCAGAAAATTATTTGTGATATGTGCATTTAACTCATGGAGTTGAAACTTCCTTTCGATAGAAGAGTTTTGAAATACTCTTTTTGTAGAATTCCCAAGTGGATTTTTACAGCAGTTTGAGGTCTATGGCAGCAAAAGAAATATCTTCACAGAAAAACTAGGCAGATTCATTCTCCGAAGCTGTTTTGTGATGCTTGCATTCAGCTGACAGAGTTTAAACTTCCTTTGATAGAGCAGTTTGGAAACACTCTTTTTGTGGAATTTGCAAGTGTCTATTTAGAGCGTTTTGAGGCCTACAGTAGGAAAGGAAATATCTTCACCTAAAAACTAGACAGAAGTATTGTCAGAAACTTATTTGTGATATTTGCATTCAACGCACGGAGTTGAACATTCCTCTTGATGGAGCCGTTTTGAAGCACTCTTTATGTGGAATCTGCAAGTGGATATTTGGACCTCTTTGTGGCCTTCGTGTGAAACTTGCTTTCTTCATTTACAACTAGACAGAAGAATTCTCAGAAACTTCTTTGTGATGTGTACTTTCAACTCACAGAGTTGAAGCTTCCTTTCAATAGAGCACTTTTGAAACTCAGTTTCTGTAGAATTTCCAGGTGGATATTTAGCGCCGTTTGAGGCCTATGGTGGAAAAGGCAATATCTTCGTAGAAAAACTAGACAGAATGATTCTCAGAATCTACTTTGTGATGTGTGGGTTCAACTCACTGAGTTTCACCTTTCTTTTGATAGACCAGTTATGAAACACTCTTTTTGTGGAATCTGCAAGTAAATATTTGGACTTTTTTGAGGCCTTCATTGGAAACGGGGTTTCTTCATACAAACCTTTACAGAAGAATTCTCAGACACTTCTCTGTGATGTGTGCGTTTAACTCTCAGAGTGCATCCTTCCTTTTGATAGAAGAGGGTTGAAATATTCCTTTTGAAGAATTTCCAAGTGAATATTTGGAGCGGTTTCAGGCCTATGTAGAAGAGAAAATATCTTCACAGAAAAACTAGACATAATTGTTCTCTGAAGCCACTCTGTGATGTGCGCATTCAGCTGACAGAGTTTAAGCTTTCTTTGGATAGATCGGATTTAAACACTCTTTTTGTGGAATTTGCAATTCTATATTTAGAGTGCTTTCAGGCCTGTGGTACGAAAGGGAATGTCTTCACATAAAATCTAGACAGAAGCATTGTCGGAAACTACTTTGTGATACCTGCCTTCAACTCTCAGAGTTGAATGTTCCTCTTGATGGAGCAGTTTTGAAAAACTCTTTTTGTTGAATCTCCAAGTGGATATTTGGACCTCTTTGTGGCCTTCGTTTGAGACGTGACTTCTTCATACAAAAGTAGACAGAAGAATTCTCATAAACTTCTTCGTGATGTGTGCTTTCAAGTCGCAGCGTTGAAGCTTCCTTTCGATAGAGCAGTTTAGTAACTCTCTTTTTGTAGAATTTCCAGGTGGATATTTAGCGCCGTTTGAGGCCTATGGTAGAAAAGGCAATATCTTCGTAGGAGAACTAGACAGAATGATTCTCAGAAACTGCTTTGTGATGTGTGCCTTCAACTCACAGAGTTTAACCTTTCTTTTGATAGAGCAGTTTTGAAAAACTCTTTTTGTAGAATCTGCAAGTGTATATTGGGAATTTTCTGAGGCCATCTTTGGAAACGGGATTTCTTCATATAAAACTTGAAAGAAGAATCCTCAGAAAATTATTTGTGATATGTGCATTTAACTCATGGAGTTGAAACTTCCTTTCGATGGAAGAGTTTTGAAATACTCTTTTTGTAGAATTTCCAAGTGGATTTTTACAGCGGTTTGAGGTCTATGGCAGAAAAAGAAATATCTTCACAGAAAAACAAGGCAGATTCATTCTCCGAAGCTGTTTTGTGATGCTTGCATTAAGCTGACAGAGTTTAAACTTCCTTTGATAGAGCAGTTTGGAAACACTCTTTTTGTGGAATTTGAAAGTGTATATTTAGAGCGTTTTGAGGCCTACAGTAGGAAAGGAAATATCTTCACATAAAAGCTAGACAGAAGTATTGTCAGAAACTTATTTGTGATATTTGCGTTCAACGCACAGAGTTGAACATTCCTCTTGATGGAGCAGTTTTCAAACCCTCTTTTTACAGAATCTGTAGCTGGATATTTGGACCTCTTTGTGGCCTTCGTTTGAAACGTGATTTCTGCATTTACAACTAGACAGAAGAATTCTCAGAAACTTCTTTGTGATGTGTACCTTCAACTGACAGAGGTGAAAGTTCCTTTGAATAGAGCACTTTTGAAACTCAGTTTTGGTCGAATTTCCAGGTGGATATTTAGGGCCGTTTGAGGCCTATGGTAGAAAAGGCAATATCTTCGTAGGAGAACTAGACAGAATGATTCTCAGAAGCTAATTTGTGATGTGTGGGTTCAACTCACTGAGTTTAACCTTTCTTTTGATAGACCAGTTATGAAACACTCTTTCTGTGGAATCTGCAAGTAAATATTTGGACTTTTTTGAGGCCTTCATTGGAAACGGGGTTTCTTCATATAAACCTTGACAAAAGAATTCCCAGAAACTTCTCTGTGATGTGTGCATTTAACTCTCAGAGTTCAACCTTCCTTTTGATAGAAGAGGGTTGAAATATTCTTTTTGTAGAATTTCCAAGTGAATATTTAGAGCGGTTTCAGGCCTATGTAGAAGAGAAAATATCTTCACAGAAAAACTAGACATAACTGTTCTCTGAAGCTGCTCTGTGATGTGCGCATTCAGCTGACAGAGTTTAACCTTTCTTTGGATAGAGCGGTTTTCAACACTCTTTTTGTGGAATTTGCAATTCTATGTTTAGAGTGCTTTCAGGCCTGTGGTACAAAAGGGAATGTCTTCACATAAAATCTAGACAGAAGCATTGTCGGAAACTACTTTGTGATACCTGCCTTCAACTCTCAGAATTGAATATTCCTCTTGATGGAGCAGTTTTGAAAAACTCCTTTGGTTGAATCTCCAAGTGGATATTTGGACCTCTTTGTGGCCTTCGTTTGAGACGTGACTTCTTCATACAAAAGTAGACAGAAGAATTCTCATAAACTTCTTTGGGATGTGTGCTTGCAACTCGCAGAGTTGAAGCTTCCTTTCAATAGAGCAGTCTTGTAACTCTCTTTTTGTAAAATTTCCAAGTGGATATTTAGCGCCGTTTGAGGCCTATGGTGGAAAAGGCAATATCTTCATAGAAAAACTAGACAGAATGATTCTCAGAAACTACTCTGTGATGTGTGTCTTCAACTCACAGAGTTTAACCTTCCTTTTGGTAGAGCAGTTTTGAAAAACTCTTTTTGTAGAATCTGCAAGTGTATATTATGAGTTTTCTGAGGCCATCTTTGGAAACGGGATTTCTTCATATAAAACTTGAAAGAAGAATCCTCAGAAAATTATTTGTGATATGTGCATTTAACTCATGGAGTTGAGACTTCCTTTTGATAGAAGAGTTTTGAAATACTCTTTTTGTAGAATTTCCAAGTGGATTTTTACAGCGGTTTGAGGTCTATGGCAGAAAAAGAAATATCTTCACAGAAAAACTAGGCAGATCCATTCTCCGAAGCTGTTTTGTGACGCTTGCATTCAGCTGACAGAGTTTAAACTTCCTTTGATAGAGCAGTTTTCAAACACTCTTTTTGTGGAATTTGCAAGTGTATATTTAGAGCGTTTTGAGGCCTGCAGTAGGAAAGGAAATATCTTCACCTAAAAACTAGACAGAAGTATTGTCAGAAACTTATTTGTGATATTTGCATTCAACGCATGGAGTTGAACATTCCTCTTGATGGAGCCGTTTTGAAGCACTCTTTTTGTGGAATCTGCAAGTGGATATTTGGACCTCTTTGTGGCCTTCGTGTGAAACGTGATTTCTTCATTTACAACTAGACAGAAGAATTCTCAGAAACTCCTTTGTGATGTGTACCTTCAACTCACAGAGGTGAAGCTTCCTTTCAATAGAGCACTTTTGAAACTCAGTTTTGGTAGAATTTCCAGGTGGATATTTTGCGCCGTTTGAGGCCTATGGTAGAAAAGGCAATATCTTCGTAGGAGAACTAGACACAAAGATTCTCAGAAGCTACTATGTGATGTGTGGGTTCAACTCACTGAGTTTAACCTTTCTTTTGATAGACCAGTTTATGAAACACTCTTTTTGTAGAATCTGCAAGTAAATCTTTGGACATTTTTGAGGCCTTCTTTGGAAACGTGGTGTCTTCATATAAACCTTGACAGAAGAATTCCCAGAAAATTCTCTGTGATGTGTGCATTTAACTCTCAGAGTTCAACCTTCCTTTTGATAGAAGAGGGTTGAAATATTCTTTTTGTAGAATTTCCAAGTGAATATTTAGAGCGGTTTCAGGCCTAAGTAGAAGAGAAAATATCTTCACAGAAAAACTAGACATAATTGTTCTCTGAAGCTGCTCTGTGATGTGCGCATTCAGCTGACAGAGTTTAACCTTTCTTTGGATAGAGCGGTTTTAAACACTCTTTTTTTTGGAAATTGCAATTCTATACTTAGAGTGCTTTCAGGCCTGTGGTACAAAAGGGAATGTCTTCACATAAAATCTAGACAGAAGCATTGTCGGAAACTACTTTGTGATACCTGCCTTCAACTCTCAGAGTTGAATATTCCTCTTGATGGAGCAGTTTTGAAAAACTCTTTTTGTTGAATCTCCAAGTGGATATTTGGACCTCTTTGTGGCCTTCGTTTGAGACGTGACTGCTTCATACAAAACTGGACAGAAGAATTCTCATAAACTTCTTCGTGATGTGTGCTTTCAACTCGCAGCGTTGAAGCTTCCTTTCGATAGAGCAGTTTAGTAACTCTCTTTTTGTAGAATTTCCAAGTGGATACTTAGCGCCGTTTGAGGCCTATGGTGGAAAAGGCAATATCTTCATAGAAAAACTAGACAGAATGATTCTCAGAAACTACTCTGTGATGTGTGCCTTCAACTCACAGAGTTTAATCTTCCTTTTGATAGAGCAGTTTTGAAAAACTCTTTTTGTAGAATCTGCAAGTGTATATTGGGACTTTTCTGAGGCCATCTTTGGAAACGGGATTTCTTCATATAAAACTTGAAAGAAGAATCCTCAGAAAATTATTTGTGATATGTGCATTTAACTCATGGAGCTGAAACTTCCTTTCGATAGAAGAGCTTTGAAATACTCTTTTTGTAGAATTTCCAAGTGGATTTTTACAGCGGTTTGAGGTCTATGGTAGAAAAAGAAATATCTTCACAGAAAAACTAGGCAGATTCATTCTCCGAAGCTGTTTTGTGATGCTTGCATTAAGCGGACAGAGTTTAAACTTCCTTTGATAGAGCAGTTTGGAAACACTCTTTTTGTGGAATTTGCAAGTGTATCTTTAGAGCGTTTTGAGGCCTACAGTAGGAAAGGAAATATCTTCACATAAAAACTACACAGAAGTATTGTCAGAAACTTACTTGTGATATTTGCATTCAACGCACAGAGTTGAACATTCCTCTTGATGGAGCAGTTTTGAAACACTCTTTTTGCAGAATCTGCAGGTGGATATTTGGATCTCTTTGTGGCCTTCGTTTGAAACGTGATTTCTTCATTTACAACTAGACAGAAGAATTCTCAGAAACTTCTTTGTGATGTGTACCTTCAACTCACAGAGGTGAAGCTTCCTTTCAATAGAGCACTTTTGAAGCTCAGTTTTGGTAGAATTTCCAGGTGGATATTTAGCGCCGTTTGAGGCCTATGGTAGAAAAGGCAATATCTTCGTAGGAGAACAAGACACAATGATTCTCAGAAGCTACTTTGTGATGTGTGGGTTCAACTCACTGAGTTTAACCTTTCTTTTGATAGACCAGTTATGAAACACTCTTTTTGTGGAATCTGCAAGTAAATATTTGGACTTTTTTGAGGCCTTCATTAGAAACGGGGTTTCTTCATATAAACCTTGACAGAAGAATTCCCAGAAACTTCTCTGTGATGTGTGCATTTAACTCTCAGAGTTCAACCTTCCTTTTGATAGAAGAGGGTTGAAATTTTCTTTTTGTAGAATTTCCAAGTGAATATTTAGAGCGGATTCAGGCCTAAGTAGAAGAGAAAATATCTTCACAGAAAAACTAGACATAATTGTTCTCTGAAGCTGCTCTGTGATGTGCGCATTCAGCTGACAGAGTTTAAACTTTCTTTGGATAGAGCGGTTTTCAACACTCTTTTTGTGGAATTTGCAATTCTATATTTAGAGTGCTTTCAGGCCTGTGGTACAAAAGGGAATGTCTTCACATAAAATCTAGACAGAAGCATTGTCGGGAACTACTTTGTGATACCTGCCTTCAACTCTCAGAGTTGAATATTCCTCTTGATGGAGCAGTTTTGTAAAACTCTTTTTGTTGAATCTCCAAGTGGATATTTGGACCTCTTCGTGGCCTTCGTTTGAAACGTGACTGCTTCATACAAAAGTAGACAGAAGAATTCTCATCAACTTCTTCGTGATGTGTGCTTTCAACTCGCAGCGTTGAAGCTTCCTTTCGATAGAGCAGTTCTGTAACTCTCTTTTTGTAGAATTTCCAAGTGGATATTTAGCGCCGTTTGAGGCCAATGGTGGAAAAGGCAATATCTTCATAGAAAAACTAGACAGAATGATTCTCAGAAACTACTTTGTGATGTGTGACTTCAACTCACAGAGTTTAACCTTCCTTTTGGTAGAGCAGTTTTGAAAAACTCTTTTTGTAGAATCTGCAAGTGTATATTGGGACTTTTCTGAGGCCATCTTTGGAAACGGGATTTCTTCATATAAAACTTGAAAGAAGAATCCTCAGAAAATTATTTGTGATATGTGCATTTAACTCATGGAGTTGAAACTTCCTTTCGATAGAAGAGTTTTGAAATACTCTTTTTGTAGAATTTCCAAGTGGATTTTTACAGCGGTTTGAGGTCTATGGCAGCAAAAGATATATCTTCACAGAAAAACTAGGCAGAATGATTCTCAGAATCTACTTTGTGATGTGTGCATTCAACTCACAGAGTTTAAATTTTCTTTTGATAGAGCAGTTTTGAAACACTACATTTGTGGAATTTGCAAGTGCAAATATTTAGAGTGCTTTGAGGCCTATGGTCGAAAAGGAAATATCTTCACATAAAAACTAGACAGAGATTGTCAGAAACGATTTTGTGATATTTGCATTCAACTCACAGAGTTGAACATTGCTCTTGATAGAGGAGTTTTGAAACACTCTTTTTGTGGAATGTGCAAATGGATATTTGGACCTCTTTGTGGCCTTCGTTTGAAAACGTGATTTCTTCATATAAAACTAGAGAGAAGAATTCTCAGAAACTTCTCTGTGATGTGTACCTTCAACTCACAGAGGTGAAGCTTCCTTTCAATAGAGCACTTTTGAAGCTCAGTTTTGGTAGAATTTTCAGGTGGATATTTAGCGCCGTTTGAGGCCTATGGTAGAAAAGGCAATATCTTCGTAGGAGAACTAGACAGAATGATTATCAGAAGCTACTTTGTGATGTGTGGGTTCAACTCACTGAGTTTAACCTTTCTTTTGATAGACCAGTTATGAAACACTCTTTCTGTGGAATCTGCAAGTAAATTTTTGGACTTTTTTGAGGCCTTCATTGGAAACGGGGTTTCTTCATATAAACCTTGACAGAAGAATTCTCAGTAACTTCTCTGTGATGTGTGCGTTTAACTCTCAGAGTTCAACCTTCCTTTTGATAGAAGAGTGTTGAAACATTCTTTTTGTAGAATTTCCAAGTGAATATTTAGAGCGGTTTCAGGCCTATGTAGAAGAGAAAATATCTTCACAGAAAAACTAGACATAATTGTTCTCTGAAGCTGCTCTGAGATGTGCGCATTCAGCTGACAGAGTTTAACCTTTCTTTGGATAGAGCGGTTTTAAACATTCTTTTGTGGAATTTGCAATTCTATATTTAGAGTGCTTTCAGGCCTGTGGTACAAAAGGGAATGTCTTCACATAAAATCTAGACAGAAGCATTGTCGGAAACTACTTTGTGATACCTGCCTTCAACTCTCAGAGTTGAATGTTCCTCTTGATGGAGCAGTTTTGAAAAACTCTTTTTGTTGAATCTCCAAGTAGATTTTTGGACCTCTTTGTGGCCTTCGTTTGAGACGTGACTTCTTCATACAAAAGTAGACAGAAGAATTCTCATAAACTTCTTCGTGATGTGTTCTTTCAACTCGCAGAGTTGAAGCTTCCTTTCAATAGAGCAGTCTTGTAACTCTCTTTTTGTAGAATTTCCAAGTGGATATTTAGCGCCGCTTGAGGCCTATGGTGGAGAAGGCGATATCTTCATAGAAAAACTAGACAGAATGATTCTCAGAAACTACTCTGTGATGTGTGCCTTCAACTCACAGAGTTTAACCTTCCTTTTGATAGAGCAGTTTTGAAAAACTCTTTTTGTAGAATCTGCAAGTGTATATTGGGACTTTTCTGAGGCCAACTTTGGAAACGGGATTTCTTCATATAAAACTTGAAAGAAGAATCCTCAGAAAATTATTTGTGGTATGTGCATTTAACTCATGGAGTTGAAACTTCCTTTCGATAGAAGAGTTTTGACATACTCTTTTCGTAGGATTTCCAAGTGGATTTTCACAGCGGTTTGAGGTCTATGGCAGAAAAAGAAATATCTTCACAGAAAAACTAGGCAGATTCATTCTCCGAAGCTGTTTTGTGATGCTTGCATTAAGCTGACAGAGTTTAAACTTCCTTTGATAGAGCAGTTTGGAAACACTCTTTTTGTGGAATTTGCAAGTGTATATTTAGAGCGTTTTGAGGCCTACAGTAGGAAAGGAAATATCTTCACATAAAAACTAGACAGAAGTATTGTCAGAAACTTACTTGTGATATTTGCATTCAACGCACAGAGTTGAACATTCCTCTTGATGGAGCAGTTTTGAAACCCTCTTTTTGTAGAATCTGCAGGTGGATATTTGGACCTCTTTGTGGCCTTCGTTTGAAACGTGATTTCTTCATTTACAACTAGACAGAAGAATTCTCAGAAACTTCTTTGTGATGTGTACCTTCAACCCACAGAGGTGAAGCTTCCTTTCAATAGAGCACTTTTGAAACTCAGTTTTGGTAGAATTTCCAGGTGGATATTTTGCGCCGTTTGAGGCCTATGGTAGAAAAGGCAATATCTTCGTAGGAGAACTAGACAGAATGATTCTCAGAAGCTACTTTGTGATGTGTGGGTTCAACTCACTGAGTTTAACCTTTCTTTTGATAGACCAGTTATGAAACACTCTTTCTGTGGAATCGGCAAGTAAATATTTGGACTTCTTTGAGGCCTTCATTGGAAACGGGGTTTCTTCATATAAACCTTGACAAAAGAATTCTCAGAAACTTCTCTGTGATGTGTGCGTTTAACTCTCAGAGTTCAACCTTCCTTTTGATAGAAGAGTGTTGAAATATTCTTTTTGCAGAATTTCCACGTGAATATTTAGAGCGGTCTCAGGCCTATGTAGAAGAGAAACTATCTTCACGGAAAAACTAGACATAATTGTTCTCTGAAGCTCCTCTGTGATGTGCGCATTCAGCTGACAGAGTTTAACCTTTCTTTGGATAGAGCGGTTTTCAACACTCTTTTTGTGGAATTTGCAATTCTATATTTAGAGTGCTTTCAGGCCTGTGGTACAAAAGGGAATGTCTTCACATAAAATCTAGACAGAAGCATTGTCGGGAACTACTTTGGGATACCTGCCTTCAACTCTCAGAGTTGAGTATTCCTCTTGATGGAGCAGTTTTGAAAAACTCTTTTTGTTGAATCTCCAAGTGGATATTTGGACCTCTTTGTGGCCTTCGTTTGAAACGTGACCGCTTCATACAAAAGTAGACAGAAGAATTCTCACCAACTTCTTCGCGATGTGTGCTTTCAACTCGCAGAGTTGCAGCTTCCTTTCGATAGAGCAGTTTTGTAACTCTCTTTTTGTAGAATTTCCAAGTGGATATTTAGCGCCGTTTGAGGCCTATGGTGGAAAAGGCAATATCTTCATAGAAAAACTAGACAGAATGATTCTCAGAAACTACTTTGTGATGTGTGCCTTCAACTCACAGAGTTTAACCTTTCTTTTGATAGAGCAGTTTTGAAAAACTCTTTTTGTAGAATCTGCAAGTGTATATTGGGACTTTTCTGAGGCCATCTTTGGAAACGGGATTTCTTCAGATAAAACTTGAAAGAAGAATCCTCAGAAAATTATTTGTGATATGTGCATTTAACTCATGGAGTTGAAACTTCCTTTCGATAGAAGAGTTTTGAAATACTCTTTTTGTAGAATATCCAAGTGGATTTTTACAGCGGTTTGAGGTCTATGGCTGCAAAAGGAATATCTTCACAGAAAAACTAGGCAGATCCATTCTCCAAAGCTGTTTTGTGACGCTTGCATTCAGCTGACAGAGTTTAAACTTCCTTTGATAGAGCAGTTTTCAAACACACTTTTTGTGGAATTTGCAAGTGTATATTTAGAGCGTTTTGAGGCCTGCAGTAGGAAAGGAAATATCTTCACCTAAAAACTAGACAGAAGTATTGTGAGAAACTTATTTGTGATATCTGCATTCAACGCACAGAGTTGAACATTCCTCTTGATGGAGCCGTTTTGAAACACTCTTTTTGTAGAATCTGCAAGTGGATATTTGGACCTCTTTGTGGCCTTCGTGTGAAACGTGATTTGTTCATTTACAACTAGACAGAAGAATTCTCAGAAACTTATTAGTGATGTGTACCTTCAACTCACAGAGGTGAAGCTTCCTTTCAATAGAGCACTTTTGAAACTCAGTTTTGGTAGAATTTCCAGGTGGATATTTAGCGCCGTTTGAGGCCTATGGTAGAAAAGGCAATATCTTCGTAGGAGAACTAGACAGAATTGTTCTCAGAAGCTACTTTGTGATGTGTGGGTTCAACTCACTGAGTTTAACCTTTCTTTTGATAGACCAGTTATGAAACACTCTTTCTGTGGAATCGGCAAGTAAATATTTGGACTTTTTTGAGGCCTTCTTTGGAAACGGGGTTTCTTCATATAAACCTTGACAGAAGAATTCTCAGAAACTTCTCTGTGATGTGTGCGTTTAACTCTCAGAGTTCAACCTTCCTTTTGATAGAAGAGTGTTGAAATATTCTTTTTGTAGAATTACCAAGTGAATATTTAGAGCGGTTTCAGGCCTATGTAGAAGAGAAACTATCTTCACAGAAAAACTAGACATAATTGTTCTCTGAAGCTACTTTGTGATGTGCGCCTTCAGCTGACAGAGTTGAACCTTTCTTTGGATAGAGCGGTTTTAAACACTCTTTTTGTGGAATTTGCAATTCTATATTTAGAGTGCTTTCAGGCCTGTGGTACAAAAGGGAATGTCTTCACATAAAATCGAGACAGAAGCATTGTCGGGAACTACTTTGGGATACCTGCCTTCAACTCTCAGAGTTGAATATTCCTCTTGATGGAGCAGTTTTGAAAAACTCTTTTTGTTGAGTCTCCAAGTGGATATTTGGACCTCTTTGTGGCCTTCGTTTGAAACGTGACTGCTTCATACAAAAGTAGACAGAAGAAGTCTAAGAAACTTCTTTGTGATGTGTGCTTTCAACTCACAGATTTGAACCTTCAATTCGATACAGCAGTTTTGAAACCCTTTTTTTCGAATTTCCAAGTGGATATTTAGAGCTGTTTGAGGCCTATGGTAGAAAACACAATATCTTCATAGAAAAACTAGACAGAATGATTCTCAGAAACTACTCTGTGATGTGTGCCTTCAACTCACAGAGTTTAACCTTCCTTTTGATAGAGCAGTTTTGAAAAACTCTTTTTGTAGAATCTGCAAGTGTATATTGGGACTTTTCAGAGGCCATCTTTGGAAACGGGATTTCTTCATATAAAACTTGAAAGAAGAATCCTCAGAAAATTATTTGTGATATGTGCATTTAACTCATGGAGTTCAGACTTCCTTTCGATAGAAGAGTTTTGAAATACTCTTTTTGTAGAATTTCCAAGTGGATTTTTACAGCGGTTTGAGGTCTATGGCAGAAAAAGGAATATCTTTACAGAAAAAGCAGGCAGATTCATTCTCCGAAGCTGTTTTGTGATGCTTGCATTAAGCGGACAGAGTTTAAACTTCCTTTGATAGAGCAGTTTGGAAACACTCTTTTTGTGGAATTTGCAAGTGTATATTTAGAGCGTTTTGAGGCCTACAGTAGGAAAGGAAATATCTTCACATAAAAACTACACAGAAGTATTGTCAGAAACTTATTTGTGATATTTGCATTCAACACACGGAGTTGAACATTCCTCTTGATGGAGCCGTTTTGAAGCACTCTTTTTGTGGAATCTGCAAGTGGATATTTGGACCTCTTTGTGGCCTTCATGTGAAACGTGATTTCTTCATTTACAATTAGACAGAAGAATTCTCAGAAACTTCTTTGTGATGTGTACCTTCAACCCACAGAGGTGAAGCTTCCTTTCAATAGAGCACTTTTGAAACTCAGTTTTGGTAGAATTTCCAGGTGGATATTTAGCGCCGTTTGAGGCCTATGGTAGAAAAGGCAATATCTTCGTAGGAGAACTAGACAGAATGATTCTCAGAAGGTACATTGTGATGTGTGGGTTCAACTCACTGAGTTTAACCTTTCTTTTGATAGACCAGTTATGAAACACTCTTTTTGTGGAATCTGCAAGTAAATTTTTGGACTTTTTTGAGGCCTTCATTGGAAACGGGGTTTCTTCATATAAACCTTGACAGAAGAATTCCCAGAAACTTCTCTGTGGTGTGTGCATTTAACTCTCAGAGTTCAAACTTCCTTTTGATAGAAGAGTGTTATAGTATTCTTTCTGTAGAATTTCCAAGTGAATATTTAGAGCGGTTTCAGGCCTATGTAGAAGAGAAACTATCTTCACAGAAAAACTAGACATAATTGTTCTCTGAAGCTACTCTGTGATGTGCGCATTCAGCTGACAGAGTTTAACCTTTCGTTGGATAGAGCGGTTTTAAACCCTCTTTTTGTGGAATTTGCTATTCTATCTTTAGAGTGCTTTCAGGCCTCTGGTACAAAAGGGAATGTCTTCACATAAAATCTAGACAGAAGCATTGTCGGAAACTACTTTGTGATACCTGCCTTCAACCCTCAGAGTTGAATATTCCTCTTGATGGAGCAGTTTTGAAAAACTCTTTTTGTTGAATCTCCAAGTGGACATTTGGACCTCTTTGTGGCCCTCGTTTGAAACGTGACTTCTTCATACAAAACTAGACAGAAGAACTCTCATAAACTTCGTCGTGATTTGTGCTTTCAACTCGCTGAGTTGAAGCTTCCTTTCGACAGAGCAGTCTTGTAACTCTCTTTTTGTAGAATTTCCAAGGGGATATTTAGCGCCGTTTGAGGCCTATGGTGGAAAAGGCAATATCTTCATAGAAAAACTAGACAGAATGATTCTCAGAAACTACTCTGTGATGTGTGCCTTCAACTCACAGAGTTTAACCTTCCTTTTGATAGAGCAGTTTTGAAAAACACTTTTTGTAGAATCTGCAAGTGTATATTGGGACTTTTCTGAGGCCAACTTTGGAAACGGGATTTCTTCATATAAAACTTGAAAGAAGAATCCTCAGAAAATTATTTGTGATATGTGTATTTAACTCATGGAGCTGAAACTTCCTTTCGATAGAAGAGCTTTGAAATACTCTTTTTGTAGAATTTCCAAGTGGATTTTTACAGCGGTTTGAGGTCTATGGCAGAAAAAGAAATATCTTCACAGAAAAACTAGGCAGATTCATTCTCCGAAGCTGCTTTGTGATGCTTGCATTCAGCTGACAGAGTTTAAACTTCCTTTGATAGAGAAGTTTTGAAAAACTCTTTTTGTGGAATTTGCAAGTGTCTCTTTAGAGCGTTTTGAGGCCTACAGTAGGAAAGGAAATATCTTCACCTAAAAACTAGACAGAAGTATTGTCAGAAACTTATTTGTGATATTTGCATTCAACGCACGGAGTTGAACATTCCTCTTGATGAAGCCGTTTTGAAGCACTCTTTTTGTGGAATCTGCAAGTGGATATTTGGACCTCTTTGTGGCCTTCGTGTGAAACGTAATTTCTTCATTTACAACTAGACAGAAGAATTCTCAGAAACTTCTTTGTGATGTGTACCTTCAACTCACAGAGGTGAAGCTTCCTTTCAATAGAGCACTTTTGAAACTCAGTTTTGGTAGAATTTCCAGGTGGATATTTAGCGCCATTTGAGGCCTATGGTAGAAAAGGCAATATCTTCGTAGGAGAACTAGACACAATGATTCTCAGAAGCTACTTTGTGATGTGTGGGTTCAACTCACTGAGTTTAACCTTTCTTTTGATAGACCAGTTATGAAACACTCTTTCTGTGGAATCGGCAAGTAAATATTTGGACTTTTTTGAGGCCTTCATTGGAAACGGGGTTTCTTCATATCAACCTTGACAGAAGAATTCTCAGAAACTTCTCTGTGATGTGTGCGTTTAACTCTCAGAGTTCAACCTTCCTTTTGATAGAAGAGTGTTGAAATATTCTTTTTGCAGAATTTCCAAGTGAATATTTAGAGCGGTCTCAGGCCTATGTAGAAGAGAAAATATCTTCACAGAAAAACTAGACATCATTGTTCTCTGAAGCTACTTTGTGATGTGCGCATTCAGCTTACAGAGTTTAACCTTTCTTTGGATCGAGCGGTTTTAAACACTCTTTTTGTGGAATTTGCAATTCTATATTTAGAGTGCTTTCAGGCCTGTGGTACAAAAGGGAATGTCCTCACATAAAATCTAGACAGACGCATTGTCGGGAACTACTTTGTGATACCTGCCTTCAACTCTCAGAGTTGAATATTCCTCTTGACGGAGCAGTTTTGAAAAACTCTTTTTGTTGAATCTCCAAGTGGATATTTGGACCTCTTTGAGGCCTTCGTTTGAAACGTGACTGCTTCATACAAAAGTAGACAGAAGAATTCTCATAAACTTCTTCGTGATGTGTGCTTTCAACTCGCAGCGTTGAAGCTTCTTTTCGATAGAGCAGTTTAGTAACTCTCTTTTTGTAGAATTTCCAAGTGGATATTTAGCGCCGTTTGAGGCCTATGGTGGAAAAGGCAATATCTTCATAGAAAAACTAGACAGAATGATTCTCAGAAACTACTTTGTGATGTGTTCCTTCAACTCACAGAGTTTAGCCTTCCTTTTGGTAGAGCAGTTTTGAAAAACTCTTTTTGTAGAATCTGCAAGTGTGTATTGGGACTTTTCTGAGGCCATCTTTGGAAACGGGATTTCTTCATATAAAACTTCAAAGAAGAATCCTCAGAAAATTATTTGTGATATGTGCATTGAACTCATGGAGTT
This sequence comes from Homo sapiens, assembly GCF_000001405.40. Classification (NCBI taxonomy): domain Eukaryota; kingdom Metazoa; phylum Chordata; class Mammalia; order Primates; family Hominidae; genus Homo; species Homo sapiens. The sequence goes on from NC_000003.12 coordinate 91,224,120, forward strand.
GAAACTTCCTTTCGATAGAAGAGTTTTGAAATACTCTTTTTGTAGAATTCCCAAGTGGATTTTTACAGCGGTTTGAGGTCTATGGCAGCAAAAGAAATATCTTCACAGAAAAACTAGGCAGATTCATTCTCCGAAGCTGTTTTGTGATGCTTGCATTAAGCGGACAGAGTTTAAACTTCCTTTGATAGAGCAGTTTGGAAACACTCTTTTTGTGGAATTTGCAAGTGTATATTTAGAGCGTTTTGAGGCCTACAGTAGGAAAGGAAATATCTTAACATAAAAACTACACAGAAGTATTGTCAGAAACATACTTGTGATATTTGCATTCAACACACAGAGTTGAACATTCCTCTTGATGGAGCAGTTTTGAAACACTCTTTTTGCAGAATCTGCAGGTGGATATTTGGACCTCTTTGTGGCCTTCGTTTGAAACGTGATTTCTTCATTTACAACTAGACAGAAGAATTCTCAGAAACTTCTTTTTGATGTGTACCTTCAACTCACAGAGGTGGAGCTTCCTTTCAATAGAGCACTTTTGAAGCTCAGTTTTGGTAGAATTTCCAGGTGGATATTTAGCGCCGTTTGAGGCCTATGGTAGAAAAGGCAATATCATCGTAGGAGAACTAGACACAATGATTCTCAGAAGCTACCTTGTGATGTGTGGGTTCAACTCACTGAGTTTAACCTTTCTTTTGATAGACCAGTTATGAAACACTCTTTTTGTAGAATCTGCAAGTAAATATTTGGACTTTTTTGAGGCCTTCATTGGAAACGGGGTTTCTTCATATAAACCTTGACAGAAGAATTCCCAGAAACTTCTCTGTGATGTGTGCATTTAACTCTCAGAGTTCAACCTTCCTTTTGATAGAAGAGGGTTGAAATATTCATTTGTAGAATTTCCAAGTGAATATTTAGAGCGGTTTCAGGCCTAAGTAGAAGAGAAAATATCTTCACAGAAAAACTAGACATAATTGTTCTCTGAAGCTACTTTGTGATGTGCGCATTCAGCTTACAGAGTTTAACCTTTCTTTGGATCGACCTGTTTTAAACACTCTTTTTGTGGAATTTGCAATTCTATATTTAGAGTGCTTTCAGGCCTGTGGTACAAAAGGGAATGTCCTCACATAAAATCTAGACAGAAGCATTGTCGGAAACTACTTTGTGATACCTGCCTTCAACTCTCAGAGTTGAATATTCCTCTTGATGGAGCAGTTTTGAAAAACTCTTTTTGTTGAATCTCCAAGTGGATATTTGGACCTCTTTGAGGCCTTCGTTTGAGACGTGACTGATTCATACAAAAGTAGACAGAAGAATTCTCATCACCTTCTTCGCGATGTGTGCTTTCAACTCGCGGAGCTGAAGCTTCCTTTCGATAGAGCAGTTTTGTAACTCTCTTTTTGTAGAATTTCCAATTGGATATTTAGCGCCGTTTGAGGCCTATGGTGGAAAAGGCAACATCTTCATAGAAAAACTAGACAGAATGATTCTCAGAAGCTACTTTGTGATGTGTGCCTTCAACTCACAGAGTTTAACCTTTCTTTTGATAGAGCAGTTTTGAAAAACTCTTTTTGTAGAATCTGCAAGTGTATATTGGGACTTATCTGAGGCCATCTTTGGAAACGGGATTTCTTCAGATAAAACTTGAAAGAAGAATCCTCAGAAAATTATTTGTGGTATGTGCATTTAACCCATGGAGTTGAAACTTCCTTTCGCTAGAAGTGTTTTGACATACTCTTTTTGTAGGATTTCCAAGTGGATTTTCACAGCGGTTTGAGGTCTATGGCAGAAAAAGAAATATCTTCACAGAAAAACTAGGCAGATTCATTCTCCGAAGCTGTTTTGTGATGCTTGCATTCAGCTTACAGAGTTTAAACTTACTTTGATAGAGCAGTTTTGACACCCTCTTTTTGTGGAATTTGCAAGTGTCTCTTTAGAGCGTTTTGAGACCTACAGTAGGAAAGGAAATATCTTCACATAAAAACTAGACGGAAGTATTGTCAGAAACTTATTTGTGATATTTGCATTCAACGCACAGAGTTGAACATTCCTCTTGATGGAGCAGTTTTGAAACCCTCTTTTTGCAGAATCTGCAGGTGGATATTTGGACCTCTTTGTAGCCTTCGTTTGAAACGTGATTTCTTCATTTACAACTAGACAGAAGAATTCTCAGAAACTACTTTGTGATGTGTACATTCAACTCACAGACTTGAAGCTTCCTTTCAATAGAGCACTTTTGAAACTCAGTTTTTGTAGAATTTCCAGGTGGATATTTAGCGCTGTTTGAGGCCTATGGTAGAAAAGGCAATATCTTCATAGGAAAACTAGACAGAATGTTTCTCAGAAACTACTTTGTGATGTGTGCGTTCAACTCACTGAGGTTAACCTTTCTTTGGATAGACCAGTTATGAAACACTCTTTTTGTAGAATCTGCAAGTAAATATTTGGACTTTCTTGAGGCCTTCATTGGAAACGGGATTCCTTCATAGAAACCTTGACAGAAGAATTCTCAGAAACTTCTTTGTGATGTGTGCATTTTACTCTCAGAGTTCAACCTTCCTTTTGATAGAAGAGTGTTGAAATATTCTTTTTGTAGAATTTCCAAGAGTATATTTAGAGCGGTTTCAGGCCTATGTAGAAGAGAAAATATCTTCACAGAAAAACTAGACACAATTGTTCTCTGAAGCTACTCTGTGATGTGCGCATTCAGCTGACAGAATTTAAACTTTCTTTGAATAGAGCGGTTTTAAACACTCCTTTTGTGGAATTTGCAGTTCTATATTTAGAGTGCTTTCAGGCCTGTGGTACAAAAGGGAATGTCTTCACATAAAATCTAGACAGAAGCATTGTCGGTAACTACTTTGTGATACATGGCTTCAACTCTCAGAGTTGAATATTCCTCTTGAAGGAGCAGTTTTGAAAAACACTTTTTGTTGAATCTCCAAGTGGATATTTGGTCCTCTTTGTGGCCTTCGTTTGAAACGGTGACTGCTTCATACAAAAGTAGACAGAAGAATTCTCATCAACTTCTTCGTGATGTGTGCTTTCAACTAGCATCGTTGAAGCTTCCTTTCGATAGAGCAGTTCTGTAACTCTCTTTTTGTAGAATTTCCAAGTGGATATTTAGCGCCGTTTGAGGCCAATGGTGGAAAAGGCAATATCTTCATAGAAAAACTAGACAGAATGATTCTCAGAAACTAATTTGTGATGTGTGCCTTCAACTCACAGAGTTTAACCTTCCTTTTGGTAGAGCAGTTTTGAAAAACTCTTTTTGTAGAATCTGCAAGTGTATATTGGGACTTTTCTGAGGCCATCTTTGGAAACGGGATTTCTTCATATAAAACTTGAAAGAAGAATCCTCTGAAAATTATTTGTGATATGTGCATTTAACTCATGGAGTTGAAACTTCCTTTCGATAGAAAAGTTTTGAAATAATCTTTTTGTAGAATTTCCAAGTGGATTTTTACAGCGGTGTGAGGTCTATGGCAGAAAAAGGAATATCTTCACAGAAAAACTAGGCAGATTCATTCTCCGAAGCTGTTTTGTGATGCTTGCATTCAGCTTACAGAGTTTAAACTTCCTTTGATAGAGCAGTTTTGAAACCCTCTTTTTGTGGAATTTGCAAGTGTCTCTTTAGAGCGTTTTGTGGCCTACAGTAGGAAAGGAAATATCTTCACATAAAAACTAGACAGAAATATTGTCGGAAACTTACTTGTGATATTTGCATTCAACGCACAGAGTTGAACATTCCTCTTGATGGAGCAGTTTTGAAACACTCTTTTTGCAGAATCTGCAGGTGGATATTTGGACCTCTTTGTGGTCTTCCTTTGAAACGTGATTTCTTCATTTACAACTAGACAGAAGAATTCTCAGAAACTTCTTTGTGATGTGTACCTTCAACTCACAGAGGTGAAGCTTCCTTTCAATAGAGCACTTTTGAAGCTCAGTTTTGGTAGAATTTCCAGGTGGATATTTAGCGCCGTTTGAGGCCTATGGTAGAAAAGGCAATATCTTCGTAGGAGAACTAGACACAATGATTCTCAGAAACAACTTTGTGATGTGTGCGTTCAACTCACGGAGTTTAACCTTTCTTTTGATAGACCAGTTATGAAACACTCCTTTTGTAGAATCTGCAAGTAAATATTTGGACTTTTTTGAGGCCTTCATTGGAAACGGGATTTCTTCATATAAACCTTGACAGAAGAATTCCCAGAAACTTCTCTGTGATGTGTGCATTTAACTCTCAGAGTTCAACCTTCCTTTTGATAGAAGAGGGTTGAAATATCCTTTTTGTAGAATTTCCAAGTGAATATTTAGAGCGGTTTCAGGCCTATGTAGAAGAGAAAATATCTTCACAGAAAAACTAGACATAATTGTTCTCTGAAGCTACTCTGTGATGTGCGCATTCAGCTGACAGAGTTTAACCTTTCGTTGGATAGAGCGGTTTTAAACCCTCTTTTTGTGGAATTTGCTATTCTATCTTTAGAGTGCTTTCAGGCCTCTGGTACAAAAGGGAATGTCTTCACATAAAATCTAGACAGAAGCGTTGTTGGAAACTACTTTGTGATACCTGCCTTCAACTCTCAGAGTTGAATATTCCTCTTGACGGAGCAGTTTTGAAAAACGCTTTTTGTGGAATCTCCAAGTGGATATTTGGACCTCTTTGTGGCCTTCGTTTGAGACGTGACTTCTTCATACAAAACTAGACAGAAGAATTCTCATAAACTTCTTCGTGATGTGTGCTTTCAAGTCGCAGCGTTGAAGCTTCCTTTCGATAGAGCAGTTTAGTAACTCTCTTTTTGTAGAATTTCCAAGTGGATATTTAGCGCCGTTTGAGGCCTATGGTGGAAAAGGCAATATCTTCATAGAAAAACTAGTCAGAATGATTCTCAGAAACTACTCTGTGATGTGTGCCTTAAACTCACAGAGTTTAACCTTCCTTTTGATAGAGCAGTTTTGAAAAACTCTTTTTGTAGAATCTGCAAGTGTATATTGGGACTTTTCTGAGGCCATCTTTGGAAACGGGATTTCTTCATATAAAACTTGAAAGAAGAATCCTCAGAAAATTATTTGTGATATGTGCATTTAACTCATGGAGTTGAAACTTCCTTTCGATAGAAGAGTTTTGAAATACTCTTTTTGTAGAATTTCCAAGTGGATTTTTACAGCGGTTTGACGTCTAAGGCAGCAAAAGAAATATCTTCACAGAAAAACTAGGCAGATTCATTCTCCGAAGCCGTTTTGTGATGCTTGCATTCAGCTGACAGAGTTTAAACTTGTTTGATAGAGCAGTTTGGAAACACTCTTTTTGTGGAGTTTGCAAGTGTTTATTTAGAGCGTTTTGAGGCCTACAGTAGGAAAGGAAATATCTTCACATAAAAACTAGACAGAAGTATTGTCAGAAACTTATTTGTGATATTTGCATTCAACGCACGGAGTTGAACATTCCTCTTGATGGAGCCGTTTTGAAGCACTCTTTATGTGGAATCTGCAAGTGGATATTTGGACCTCTTTGTGGCCTTCGTGTGAAACTTGCTTTCTTCATTTACAACTAGACAGAAGAATTCTCAGAAACTTCTTTGTGATGTGTACCTTCAACTCACAGAGGTGAAGCTTCCTTTCACTAGAGCACTTTTGAAACTCACTTTTGGTAGAATTTCCAGGTGGATATTTTGCGCCGTTTGAGGCCTATGGTAGAAAAGGCAATATCTTCGTAGGAGAACTAGACAGAATGATTCTCAGAAACAACTTTGTGATGTGTGCGTTCAACTCACGGAGTTTAACCTTTCTTTTGATAGACCAGGTATGAAACACTCTTTTTGTAGAATCTGCAAGTAAATATTTGGACTTTTTTGAGGCCTTCATTGGAAACGGGATTTCTTCATATAAACCTTGACAGAAGAATTCCCAGAAACTTCTCTGTGATGTGTGCATTTAACTCTCAGAGTTCAACCTTCCTTTTGATAGAAGAGGGTTGAAATATTCTTTTTGTAGAATTTCCAAGTGAATATTTAGAGCGGTTTCAGGCCTATGTAGAAGAGAAAATATCTTCACAGAAAAACTAGACATAATTGTTCTCTGAAGCTACTCTGTGATGTGCGCATTCAGCTGACAGAGTTTAACCTTTCTTTGCATAGAGCGGTTTTAAACCCTCTTTTTGTGGAATTTGCAATTCTGTATTTAGAGTGCTTTCAGGCCTGTGGTACAAAAGGGAATGTCTTCACATAAAATCTAGACAGAAGCATTGTCGGGAACTACTTTGGGATACCTGCCTTCAACTCTCAAGAGTTGAATATTCCTCTTGATGGAGCAGTTTTGAAAAACTCTTTTTGTTGAATCTCCAAGTGGATATTTGGACCTCTTTGTGGCCTTCGTTTGAAACGTGACTGCTTCATACAAAAGTAGACAGAAGAATTCTCATAAACTTCTTCGTGATGTGTGCTTTCAACTCGCAGCGTTGAAGCTTCCTTTTGATAGAGCAGTTCAGTAACTCTCTTTTTGTAGAATTTCCAAGTGGATATTTAGCGCCGTTTGAGGCCAATGGTGGAAAAGGCAATATCTTCATAGAAAAACTAGACAGAATGATTCTCAGAAACTACTTTGTGATGTGTGCCTTCAACTCACAGAGTTTAACCTTCCTTTTGGTAGAGCAGTTTTCAAAAACGCTTTTTGTAGAATCTGCAAGTGTATATTGGGACTTTTCTGAGGCCATCTTTGGAAACGGGATTTCTTCATATAAAACTTGAAAGAAGAATCCTCAGAAAATTATTTGTGATATCTGCATTTAACTCATGGAGTTGAAACTTCCTTTCGATAGAAGAGTTTTGACATCCTCTTTTTGTAGAATTTCCAAGTGGATTTTTACAGCGGTTTGAGGTCTATGGCAGAAAAAGAAATATCTTCACAGAAAAACTAGGCAGATTCATTCTCCGAAGCTGTTTTGTGATGCTTGCATTCAGCTGACAGAGTTTAAACTTCCTTTGATAGAGCAGTTTGGAAACACTCTTTTTGTGGAGTTTGCAAGTGTTTATTTAGAGCGTTTTGAGGCCTACAGTAGGAAAGGAAATATCTTCACATAAAAACTAGACAGAAGTATTGTCAGAAACTTATTTGTGATATTTGCATTCAACGCACAGAGTTGAACATTCCTCGTGATGGAGCAGTTTTGAAACACTCTTTTTGTAGAATCTGCAAGTGAATATTTGGACCTCTTTGTGGCCTTCGTTTGAAACGTGATTTTTTCATTTACAACTAGACAGAAGAATTCTCAGAAACTTCTTTGTGATACTTACCTTCAACTCACAGAGTTGAAGCTTCCTTTCAATAGAGCACTTTTGAAACTCAGTTTTTGTAGAATTTCCAGGTGGATATTTAGCGCTGTTTGAGGCCTATGGTAGAAAAGGCAATATCTTCATAGGAAAACTAGACAGAATGATTCTCAGAAGCTACTTTGTGATGTGTGGGTTCAACTCACTGAGTTTAACCTTTCTTTTGATAGACCAGTTATGAAACACTCTTTCTGTGGAATCGGCAAGTAAATATTTGGACTTTTTTGAGGCCTTCATTGGAAACGGGCTTTCTTCATATAAACCTTGACAGAAGAATTCCCAGAAACTTCTCTGTGGTGTGTGCATTTACCTCTCAGAGTTCAACCTTCCTTTTGATAGAAGAGTGTTGAAGTATTCTTTCTGTAGAATTTCCAAGTGAATATTTAGAGCGGTTTCAGGCCTATGTAGAAGAGAAACTATCTTCACAGAAAAACTAGACATAATTGTTCTCTGAAGCTACTCTGCGATGTGCGCATTCAGCTAACAGAGTTTAAGCTTTCGTTGGATAGAGCGGTTTTAAACCCTCTTTTTGTGGAATTTGCAATTCTATATTTAGAGTGCTTTCAGGCCTGTGGTACAAAAGGGAATGTCTTCACATAAAATCTAGACAGTAGCGTTGTCGGAAACTACTTTGTGATACCTGCCTTCAACTCTCAGAGTTGAATATTCCTCTTGACGGAGCAGTTTTGAAAAACGCTTTTTGTGGAATCTCCAAGTGGATATTTGGACCTCTTTGTGGCCTTCGTTTGAGACGTGACTTATTCCTACAAATGTAGACAGAAGCAATTCTCATCAACTTCTTCACGATGTGTGCTTTCAACTCGCAGAGTTGCAGCTTCCTTTCGATAGAGCAGTTTTGTAACTCTCTTTTTGTAGAATTTCCAAGTGGATATTTAGCGCCGTTTGAGGCCTATGGTGGAAAAGGCAATATCTTCATAGAAAAACTAGACAGAATGATTCTCAGAAACTACTGTGTGATGTGTGCCTTCAACTCACAGAGTTTAACATTTCTTTTGATAGAGCAGTTTCGAAAAACTCTTTTTGTAGAATCTGCAAGTGTATATTGGGACTTTTCTGAGGCCATCCTTGGAAACGGGATTTCTTCATATAAAACTTGAAAGAAGAATCCTCAGAAAATTATTTGTGATATGTGCATTTAACTCATGGAGTTGAAACTTCCTTTCGACAGAAGAGTTTTGAAATACTCTTTTTGTAGAATTTCCAAGTGGATTTTCACAGCGGTTTGAGGTCTATGGCAGAAAAAGAAATATCTTCACAGAAAAACTACGGCAGATTCATTCTCCGAAGCTGCTTTGTGATGCTTGCATTCAGCTGACAGAGTTTAAACTTCCTTTGATAGAGCAGTTTTGAAACACTCTTTTTGTGGAATTTGCAAGTGTATATTTAGAGCGTTTTGAGGCCTACAGTAGGAAAGGAAATACCTTCACCTAAAAACTAGACAGAAGTATTGTCAGAAACTTACTTGTGATATTTGCATTCAACGCATAGAGTTGAACATTCCTCTTGATGGAGCAGTTTTGAAACACTCTTTTTGTAGAATCTGCAGGAGGATATTTGGACCTCTTTGTGGCCTTCGTTTGAAACGTGATTTCTTCATTTACAACTAGACAGAAGAATTCTCAGAAACTTCTTTGTGATGTGTACCTTCAATTCACAGAGGTGAAGCTTCCTTTCAATAGAGCACTTTTGAGGCTCAGTTTTGGTAGAATTTCCAGGTGGATATTTAGCGCCGTTTGAGGTCTATGGTAGAAAAGGCAATATCTTCGTATGAGAACTAGACACAATGATTCTCAGAAGCTACTTTGTGAAGTGTGGGTTCAACTCACTGAGTTTAACCTTTCTTTTGCTAGACCAGTTATGAAACACTCTTTCTGTGGAACTTGCAAGTAAATATTTGGACTTTTTAAGGCCTTCATTGGAAACGGGGTTTCTTCATATAAACCTTGACAGAAGAATTCTCAGAAACTTCTCTGTGATGTGTGCGTTTAACTCTCAGAGTTCAACCTTCCTTTTGATAGAAGAGTGTTGAAATATTGTTTTTGTAGAATTTCCAAGTGAATATTTAGAGCGGTTTCAGGCCTATGTAGAAGAGAATCTATCTTCACAGAAAAACTAGACATA